>NC_000015.10:85986732-86138247 GCF_000001405.40 Homo sapiens
CTCTGAGGCTTTTTGTGCCTCCATGTTCCTCTTGGAAGAGTTGAGTTGAGGCCACAGGAAGGACAACTCGAAGTAGCTCTTGGCTCTGATGGTTCACAGATCTGGGAGAATCTGTGCTGCCAGGACTTGGCCATGCTGCTCACTAACTGACTGCACCAGAACAACTCCCAGATAGAGAAGGCTTGTTTCCTAGTAGTTGAGAGCCGTGAAATGGCGAGACATGAAAGAAGCATTGGACTAGGTTAACTCTCATCAGTGTCTTTGTTTATGAGTCTAGATGGGGCTGGCAGATGCCTCACATCAGCATTATTTAGACATTAAGCGATTCTAATTGGAGATTAACATGTGTCCTCATCACAGTTGACCTTATTTATGGAGTGGCTGACATCTGAATGTCAAATTTGCATCAGTGACTTCTCTCCTCTAATAACCACTTTAATATGTAAATAACAAATTTGCAGCAGGGAAAAATATACATGATATTCTGATGATTGCTCAGAAGATGGCTTCCTTCTGTACATGAAGATGGGAGGGCAGGTGGATTCCTCCTTTTAATTAGGAGACATTGGCTAAAAGATAGAGCCAGAAAAAAAAGGACACACTTTACCTTAGATCAGCAGACATGTAGAGTTCCTAGGTTTTTAATATACTTGGCTAAGGACAGGGGGGAGACCCTACTTAAAGACAAGAGAACTAAGCTCTGGCCTCAGAAAACTTGAAGCTGTTATAAGATAGACTAAGAAAGTGTACAAATCAGTATATGTCACAGAACTATGTGATAAAATCATGAGGGAGAGGTACAAGTAACACTATTTTGTGGTTGTCTCATTGGAAGGACACCTGGAAAAGTGGTGTATTAAATAGGAATGTGATTGTCTCCAAAGCCCAGTGAGCCCTATGACTGTGACTTCAATGAAAACCTCTGAGTTGTCTCCTTCTATGAGAAGTCTTGGGTATGTGGTCCAGGCAGGCACAATGACTCTCTAGGGCCCCAGAAACCTAGGCTCTTCCTAGCATTCCCACTTTACCACTTTTAATGTGAAGGGCTTGGTGCTGTGTTTGTCGCCTTGTGGTTGCAAGAGGGCTGCTTCATCTCTAGACCTCAAGTCCACATTCCAGGTTAGAAGAAGGAAATGGGAAGGGCGAAGGAACAAAAAGGCCTCTCTTCAAGAACTTTATTATTATTATTTTATTTTAAATTATGGAAGGGAAGCCCTTCTTATCAGACTTCTGACTTTATCTTATTGGCCAGAACTGTGTCACAGGCCAGCCCTAGTTGGAAGTATCCAGGGAGGAGAGGATTGTGAGTGGGATTTGGGTAAACAGTGGTGTCTGCCTGCCAGAGGTACACTGGAGGAGGCAGAAGGCAGTGAGGCTACAGTATATGGGTGAAGATTTCATCAGGTATGTGTGTGCCTATTTCTCATCAGTTTAGGCTGCTGTAACAAATTATTATAGAATGGGTGACTTAAACAATAGAAACAGTTCTGGAGGTTGGGAAGTCCACGATCGTGGTGATAGCATGACTGGGTTCTGGTAAGGTAAACAACAGAAACAGTTCTGGAGGTTGGGAAGTCCACGATCGTGGTGATAGCATGACTGGGTTCTGGTGAGGGCCCACTTCCTGGTTTAAAGTTGACATCTTCAAACTGTGTCCTCACATGACAGAGAGAGAGAGCTCTCTTGCATTTCTTTAAGGGCAGTAAAATAGTCCTCTCTTATCTGCCGTTATGCTTTCTGCTGTTTCAGTTACGGGTGGTCAAATGAGGTCTGAAAACATTATGTGGAAGATTCCAGAACAGAAAAAAAAAATTTGTAAGTTTTAAATTGCATGCCATTCTGAGTAGCATAATGAAATCTTGTGCCATCCTGCTCTGACACGAATCATCCCTTTATTTTATACTTTATAGAATACTCACGCTTAGACACTTAGTAGCGATCTGCGTTATTAGATCAAAAACACATAGTGTATACAGGGTTTGGTACTATCTGCAGCTTCAGGCATCCGCTGGAGGTCTATTCCCTATGGATGAGGGGGGACTACTATAATGCCATCAGGGAGACTCCACCCTCATGACCTTGTCACCTCCCAAAGACCCCACCTCCTGTACCATCACACTGGGGATTAGGGTTTCAATGTATGACGTTTTGGGGAACTCAAACACACAGTCCGTAACTGTGTGGGGCGGGGCTTAGCATGAGGAAAGATAGAACAGTGTGAGGCATGGTTAATAAGGAAGTGGAGAGCATTGGGAATGGAGTTGAGGGTGGAGCCAGGAGCAGCTAACTCTGCAGTGCACTTTGGGGGAAGAAAAGGAAGCCGAGGCAAGGCACAGCAGGACTGCATGACACTGTCTGTTGGTGAGAGGGAGAGAATGTGTGTGTAGAACGGCTGTGGAGCTGGGTCTAAGGGCCCTGTGGACTCAGATCTGACCCCACCACAGACAGTTCTGATGTTCTTGAACCTTCATTTTGGGGAGAACGGTTGCTATTACTTAGCCTGTGTGCATGGTAGCTGAGTTCCCACAGAATTGCCACACTGAGTAGGGGCGAAAGATACTTCCAATTTCCATCTTAAACATCTGCATTCCTAGGGAAAGGGGAAGGAGGTAAACAGAAGTATTAAGATAACACCTCGGCCAGGCACGGTGGCTCATGCCTGTAATCCCAGCACTTTGGGAGGCTGAGGCGGGCAGATCCCAAGGTCAGGAGTTCAAGACCAGTTTGGCCAATGTGGTAAAACCCTGTCTCTACTAACAATACAAAAATTAGCTGGGCATGATGGCGCGTGCCTGTAGTCCCAGCTACTCGGGAGGCTGCGTCAGGAGAATTGCTTGAACCCGGGAGGCGAAGGTTGTGATGAGTCGAGATCACATCACTGCACTCCAGCCTGGGCGACAGAGCAAGATTCCATCTCAAAAAAAAAAAAAAAAAATCTCATATAGATCAAGTTGCTAATTAGGGCAAGTTGGCTGCTATTGTATTCACTTGTTTGTTGAACACTAGTTCTTAAGTGCCTACTGTATGCATGGCACTGGTCTTGGTGCTAAACAACTACAAGTCTTTGTCTGCCAAGAGCTGTCAATGTGATAATGAAGAAAAGACAGAATTAGTAACCATGCCAGGCAGCACAGGGTGACACTCCCAAATTAGTGGTTCAGATAGAATGTGAGTTCACGGGAGCTGTGGGTCGCTGTGTCACAGAGAAGGTGGCACTTCATTTGTAGGCCTTGAAAAGGTGATAGAATTTGAATGAAAAGTGGGGAGAAGGGCAGGTCATTCTAGGTCAGGGAAGAGGTTGAGGGAGGAGGTGATATGGCACAGGGCATCACCCACATAGGGTGAGAGACTGGTCTAGGGAATTCGAGGGTGGGATGGGGACCACTGAGTCAGGTCATGATGGTACATCTATCAGGAAAGGGCAGGGGGACAAGTGAGTGGCCCTGGGATTGATCCTGGCTCCACTCACCACTAACCACTTGTGCGTCCTTGAGAAAATGTTTCAACTTCCTAGAATCTCCGAAGTATCTTTAAAATGGGAGCAATAATACTGACCTAGAGGGTAGAGGTATGGTGCATTCCAGCAATATCTTAAAAGCATGTGTTCTGGGATCAAAGAGACCTGGGTTTAATCCCGATTATTATATGACCTTGGATATGTTATAATTTTACCTATAAATCTGTCAGGGTTCTTAATGTTTTTGAGATTCACAGAAACTTATGCTGGAGGTTAAACCTCACAGGAGTTGGGTAAAGGGTATTCATTAGTGTCTGGCTTTTTCAGGAGGGCCACCAAGTCAGATTTGGAAGGCATGCAGGCTACACAGCAGCAGGACTGCCTCAGGAGAGATGCCCCAGCCACTGCTGCTGGGCCAGACACTGCTGCATTCCCTGCTTGTACAGGGCACTGTCATCTGCATCCTGCCACTGGATCGTGGATGTCCATGAAGCCACCCTTTCCGTGGTGGCTTTCCAATGGTGCTTTAGATCACCAGATTCCCAAAGGAGATCTTCTGGGTGCATCTGTTTGGCAGAGATTGGGTCACATGCCTGTGCCCTAGCTGCAAAGGAGGCTGGGAAATCAAGCTCCACCTTCTACCTTAGAAGGTGGGAAAGTCTCTGAATGAAAGAAAGATATTCAAAGGTTTCAGGAGCCAAAAGCATCACTAGTATTCCTACAATGTAGCTTATGAGCTTCTCCTGAGGACTAAATGGTATCATGTGTGTCAAGCACTTAGCATGGTGCCTGGCACAATAAGCAAGCAGTAAATGCTAACTACTATTAACTGTTAACAGCAAATGGGGAAATGCCTAGGAAGAAGTGGGTGGTAAGTGTGCTGACAGCTGATAAAGCAGTCTCCCAGGGAGAAGAATTCAGCATAGCCCACCACCTCACCCTTGGTATCAGAGGCTCTGAAAGCTGACTCAGCCGCACGTGGAGCCTGAATTTGTCTCAGGAGCAAACTCCGCCATTCCCGTTGAGTAATTCTAATTTATTAAATAACAGTGAGAACTGTAACCACTGTGTCCATGTATCCCCTGATGGGCCTGTCCATCACATAGTCCTGTCCCTATGGGAGAGACCCATGGGAAGTCATATGAATTAGAAGCTCATTTGATGAACATGAACTCAGATTGTGGAATTTCAGAATAGGGGTTAGATGATTAAGAGTTGTTTGACTCATCAGTCCAACAGCAGGGAATCAGGGGTATCCTGTGGCTGGACAGGTCCTGTCCTGGACCGATAAAACCCCTGGACCAGTGGTATGCTGGTAGGTTGGAGAAAGAGGCCCAGATTTGTAGCATTTACCAATTCTCATGGCCAATTTCACTGTGGCCAATTTCAGACTACCAACCTGATGTGATATCACACCAAGAAGGAAGAGTTGGGAAAAGCACTCAATATGCTCTTGTAAGCCTGTACAAGCTGGTTCTACCACATCTCTTCCCTGGACTGAATTGGACTCTGCTGGGGGTGGGCTCTTAAACTTTTATATTTTCTTATTTTTATGTTTTTGTTATTATTTTTGAGATCGGGTCTCATCCTGTTGTGTAGGCCGGAGTGCAGTGGCACAATCCCTGCTCACCGCAACCTCCACCTCCTTGGTTCAAGCAATTCTCCTGTCTCAGCCTCCCATGTAGCTGGGACTACAGGTGCATACCACCATGCCTGGCTAATTTTTTGTACTTTTAGTAGAAACGGGGTTTTGTTATGTTGGCCAGGCTGGTCTCGAACTCCTGACCTCAGGTGATCTACCTGCCTCGGCCTCTCAAAGTGCTGGGATTCCAGGCATGATCCACTGTGCCCAGCTACTTTTTCTTATTTTTAAATTATACTTTTTCCCTCCTCTAATTGCAAAAGGCCTGAGGTAGAACACTGGAATAAGGAGAGAGGGATTTAAAAAAAAAAGCTTAAATGTCAACCGAGCAAACCACTCTTACCATAGTGATATTTTTTGTTTGTAGTATTTTTTTCTTTTTTGACTTGCATCATACGAAAGTGATGAAATTCAACCATTTTGACCCATAAAAAGGCAATTTTATATATGATTTGACAGAATACATTTCATATTGTATATCAAGTTTTATGGCCTGCTCTGCACGTACTGTTATATCATAAACATTTCCCCATGTCATTAAATTTTCTTTGAAGGTGAGGTTTGTAATGGCTATTTTCTAGTAAATTGGTTGTGCGGCCATAATTTTTAAACCATTTATTTCATTATAGGACATTTGAATTCCTCCCTCCTTCCTTCCCTCCCTCCCTTCCTCCCTCCCTTCCTCCCTCCCTTCCTCCCTCCCTCCCTCCCTCCCTTCCTCCTTCCCTCCCTTCCTCCCTTCCTCCTTCCCTCCCTTCCTCCCTCCCTCCCTTCTTTCTTTCCTTCCTTCCTTCCTTCCTTCCTTCTCTCTCTCTTTCTCTCCCTTACTCTTGCTATTGTAAGAAATGCAGAAATGAAAATTCTTGTAACATTAATTTTTGTGCTTATCTCTGATTATTTCCTTAGGATATAACAGAGAATTACCTTAGAAGGCTGTCTAAAGGTTGGAATAACTTTAAAAATCCTGATACATTAATGCCAACATGCTTCCCTGTAATTATACTAATTTATCCCCTAACAAACAATATATGAAAGTGAGGTTTTATTGCAAAGTTGTTACCAATGAATATTGCCTTTTGTCTTTATCTTTTCCAAGTGCATTAGAAAAAATGGTAGAGTTAGAGTGAGTTTGTTTCACTTGTAAAGATCTCCAGCAATGAATAGAAGAAATGGGGGAGATTCTTGTCTGAACCTCTATTATGGCCATGTGTCATAATGCTTACTTCAACAAGATGGGACAGAGGCAAAGTTTTAGAACCAAGGCCCTAAGCCATTTAGTGCCATCCCTCTATCCATGCCCTCCCTTTTACCTACCACCTTCTATGCCCTTTTCTGCCAACAGTATGTCAATGGGTGGCCCGGATAGGTGAGTAAGCCTGTGACCAGATGGCTGTGCATTTCTGATTTTTTACATGATTGAGCTGAATTACTATCATTTGGTATAGGTGACTCAGCTACGCAATCATAACACATTGTCAGGAGCAGAAAGAACTGGTGTGGGTGGCTTATCAGGCCTTGGGCACAGAGCTCTGTTATGTTGCTCCAGCTTGCTCATTTTCAATTTATTTCCAACTTCAATATATGACTTCCAGCATTGGCAAACCTGGCTTTTAATTTCCACCTGTGTGTTGGGGGTGTGGGGAAGGGAGAGGGAAAAGGCAGGCAGAACAAGAGGAATGCACAAGAGTGTCATTATGGGTTGGCAGGCACAGACTGAGAATTTGCTTTGGGGTAGAGGGAGGAATGAGCAATGAGATAAATAATTCCTCCAATTCGGTTCCAATTGTCAAAGCTGAAAACTCAAACACGTGGGAAAATGGTGTTGTCTTTGTTCTACCACTGATGAAGAATGTCAACAGCTGATTGTGCATTTAAGCCAAAAAATGTAAAACAGTGGGATGTTAGGGGAGAAAAGGGTCATCCAAACCAGATTTTCCAACCACTGAGTTCATGGACCCAGGAAAGGCATTTTTCTTTGTTGGCAGTGGCCACTATAGCCTATGTCTCTTCTTGCCCTTCTCTTGTGTGGTTCCTGGTAGAGAATGGTGAGTGCTTGCTGTTCCATGTCATGATCTGGGTTGAGACTGGCTTAGAACTTCCTGTAGAAAAAAGTGCACAGGATGACAGTGTTGGTCACACTGGGTGACACA
Organism: Homo sapiens; assembly: GCF_000001405.40. Classification (NCBI taxonomy): domain Eukaryota; kingdom Metazoa; phylum Chordata; class Mammalia; order Primates; family Hominidae; genus Homo; species Homo sapiens. Next base: position 85,993,982 of record NC_000015.10, read on the forward strand.
AATGGCCCTGGCTGGAGAGTTATCAAATATCTCTACAAACTGAGTAAGGTAGTCACCTTATATAGCCTCTGAGAGAATTAAGACACCATGCTTCTTTAAAACATTTTGGGAATAAGGTCTATAGATGTATTTTTCTGTTTGTTTATTTTGTATCGTGGTGTAATATACATAAAATTTACCATTTTAACCATTTTTAAGTGTGCAGTTCAGTGGCATTAAGAACATTCACATTATTGTACAGCTATCATCACCATCCCTCTCCACTACTTTTTCATCATTCCAAATGGAAACTGTTCCTATGAAACACTACATCTCCATTCCTTCCTCTCTCCAGCTGTTGGTAACCTCTACTTTACTTTCAGTCTCTAGAAATTTGACTATTTGAGGTACTTCATATAAGTGGGATCACACAATATGCGGCCTTTTGTGGTTGGCTTACTTTAATCAGCATAATGTCTTTAAGGTTCATCCATATTGTAGCATGTGCCATTCCACCTTCCTTTTTTTTTTAAAAATTTTACTTTAAGTTCTGGGATACATATGCAGAATGTACAGGTTTGTTACATAGCTATACATTTGCTGTGGTAGTTTGCTGCACCTATCAACCCATCATCTAGGTTTTAAGCCCCACATGCATAGGTATTTGTCCTAATGCTATCCCTCCCTTTGCCTCCCACCCCCTGACAGGCCCTGGTGTGTGGTGTTCCTCTCCCTGTGTCCATGCGATCTCATTGTTCAACTCCCACTTATGAGTGAGAACATGTGGTGTTTGGTTTTCTGTTCCTGTGCTGGTTTGCTGAGAGTGATGGTTTCCAACTTCATCCATGTCCCTATAAAGGACAGGAGCTCATTCTTTTTTATGGCTGCATAGTATTCCATGGTGTATATGTGCCACATTTTCTTTATCCAGTCTATAATTGATGGGCATTTGGGTTGGTTCCAAGTCTTTGCTATTGTAAGTAGTGCTGCAATAAACATACTGTGCATGTATTCTTCCTTCCTTTTCAAGGCCGAGTAATATTCTATTGTATTATATACCACATTTCAGTACATGTATGTATATACCACCTTCTGTTTATTCATCCATAGATGGATCTTTGGATTGTTTCCTTCTTTTGGCTGTTGTGAAGAATGCTGGTATGAACATGGGTGTGCAAATGTCTGTTTGAGACCCTGCTTTCAATTCTTTTGGGTATTTACCCAGAATTGCTGGATGATATGTTAATCTTATGTTTCTAAATATGTAATGTTCTAAAAATGAGACAGGGCAGTGAAACTATTCTGTATGATACTGCAATGGTAGATATATGCCATTGTACATATGTCACAATCCATTAAGTGTACAGTGCAAGAAGTGTACCCTGAAGTCAATGATGGACACTAGTTCATAATAACGTATCGATATCCATCCAGCACAAATGTACCACACAAAGCAAGATGGTAATAGGAGAAACTAGAGTAGAAGGAGAGAGAGGGGGCATATGGGACCTCTCTGTACTTTAGGCTCAACTTTTCTGAAAAAGCTTTGTTTCTAAAACACAAAGTCTATTAATATTTTTTTAAAAGAGAGAGTATAAAGAACTTAAACAGAACTACAGTTTGACCCAGCAATCCCATTACTGTCTCATTCTGTGAAAAAGACACATGGGCTTGTATGTTCACTGCTGCACTATTCACAATAATAAAGACATGGAATCAACGTAGATGACCATCTATGGTAGATTGGATAAAGAACCTGTGGTGCATATACACCATGAAATATTATGCAGCTATAAAAAAGAATGAAATCATGTCATTTGCAGCAACAAGAATGCAGCTGGAGGCCATTGTCCTAAGCGAATTAACGCAGGAACAGAAAACCAAATACCATATGTTCTCACTTGTGAGAGCTAAACAGTGGGTACTCATGGACACAAAATAAGAATAGACACTGGGGACTCCAAAAGAGGGGGGCAAGGGCTGAAAAACTACCTGTTGGGTCCCATGCTTACTACCTGGGCGATGGGGATCAGTCAAACTCCAAATCTCTGTATAAAGCAATATGCCAATGTAACACATCTGCACATGTACCCTCTGAATCCAAAATAAATGTTGAAATTAAAGAAAAAAAAAGAACTTCATGGAGGAGTCCACTGAGTAGTTCCCATGTAAACATTGGGTCCTCTTCCTTCATTCCATCTGTTGTAATTCCATGCCTTGCTGGTCTTTGGAAGTCATGGGTGGTGCCATCCTTATTCACTTCACCCTCCTGGGGTCCTCCCCCTGGCACCCAATTCCCTCTGTACTGTAGCCTCCCCTTATCCATGGGAGATATGTTCCAAGACCCCCAGTGGGTGCCTGAGACCGTGGATAGTACCAAACGCTATATATACTATGGTGTTTTTAAAAATTTCTTTCCTTCTTCTTTCTTTTTTTTTTTTAAGAGACAGATACTCACTCTTTGGCCCAGGCTGAGTGCAATGGTGCGATTTCGGCTCACTGCAACCTCCACCTCCCCGGTTCTAGTGATTCTCTTGCCTCAGCCTCCTGAGTAGCTGGGACAATAGGCGCATGCTGCCACGTCTGGCTAATTTTTTGTATTTTAGAGACAGGGTTTCACCATGTTGCTCAGGCTGGTCTTGAACTCCTGGGCTCAGGCAATCCACCCGCCTTAGACTGCCAAAGTGTGAGGATTACAGGCATGAACCACTGCGCCTGGCCTGGCCTTTTTTAAAAAATATATATATACATACCTATGATAATGTAATTTATAAATTAGAAACAGTAAGAAATTTACATAAAATATAACAATTATATAATGAAATTTATGGAATGTGAGTTTGCTCTCTCAAAATATCTTACTGTATGATACTTAGCTATTTTTGGACTGTGGTTGACTATAGGTAGCTGAAATTGCAGAAAATGAAACCTCAGATAAGGGGGACTACTGTAGGTCACTCCCAGCATCTGGCCTTTCTCCTTTCCGTAGACTTCTCTGAACTCCTTCACCCTTGCTTGGATCACACAGAGGAGGGATGCTGTTCACTAGGGAGAAGGAGTCGGCTCTAGAGAAGCCTGGCGAGCTGCTAAGGGTCCCAGGTGCATTCAAAGCCGAGTCGGCACCAGCCTCTGTCTCCAGGGCTCCAGGCAGCTGCTGGCTCCAGAGCAGATTTTCCAGTCATCAGCATTGTCAGCGAAGGAGGTCGCTGTGGAACCTTCTAGGCTCCATTGCTTTCCTCAGAAAGAAATCAAAATTCTTTATTATGGTGTCTAAGTCTCTATTTGGGGCTTCCAGCAACATGGTGACAGTTTGTTTGCTATAAGACAAATATTCTATATACAATCAAACACTAAAATGTGACTGAGCTTGAAAGGAGAGAAAAGGGAAGCCCCCAGGTGCCACAAACACAGAGGATGGTAAGAGTGAGAATGAGAGAGGGATTTTACTGCTGCAACTGGCTGGGGTTTTAGGCTGGATAAAGGCTCTATGTCCTAGAGACTGATTTTTTATTTCCTACTGAGCAGCCAGAGACCTGATCAGAGGCCTATGAAGAGTAGGGAGAGGAGAGCCTCCAAGTGCCCCTTGGTCTTGGGCCTAGAAAAGCCCTGCCCACGAACATTAAAGTTATTAAAGGGAAATTACAACTCCAGGTCTGTATCCAAACTGGGCGTCAATTACTGAAAGGCAAGGGATTAACGTAAAAGTGGTTCAAGACCATTTATGTACCAGGATCCTAACAAAAGCAAACCTAATGCTGCTGTGTTATATTTTACAACCCAGAGTCCATTAAAATCCTATAGGGAATACAACACTTGTTAAAGATGACCTAACAACAGCAGCAGCAGTAATAATTAAACCACGTAAGAAAACCAACCACAAAGAGGTAGAGTCAGCTGAAACAACAAGTGGAGCATGTTTAGCACATTTAGTACTATTTAGCAAAATAATACCCCAGGAAATAAAAATTACAAAATACATTGAAAAAACCCGCATAAAATACGTTTGAAGCAGGAAGGAAAGAAAAAAGAATGAACAAGAGTAACAGAATCATAATAAAAGAACAGGACATTCAAATCTATTTTCCCCACAAGATTTTGAACACTTTGAGACAGGGGCTCATCTTATGCATTCATTCACTCTGTACTCCCAGAACCCAGTAAGACTTAATGGATGTTTGGTGAGATAATGGTGTCTCCTCATCACTGCCTTAGGAGGATGGTGGCTAAGAACATCTGATATGTGCCTAGATTCTGCCATTTCTATTCCATGTGCATCAAGGTAGGACAGGTTAGTGGTCTATAGGGAGCAGCTCTAGGGTCTTCTGTTTGGACACTCTTGTCTTTTTTTTTTGTTTGTTTTTGTTTTTGCCTTCAATGGTATAAGGGTGCTAATCCCAGAATCTGGCATATGCCCATTTTGTAATATGGCACAAAGGTGAAAGAAATAGAATAAAAGTAACTTTTATGTTCAATATGACCATCAATACCAGGAAGCCCATTTTCCCCCCCAAAAGACTATGACAAAGAACCCTGGAGAGCTCCATTCTTATATGCACACAGAGCTCTCCCTCCAGCTAATCCTTTGGGCAACTTGGTGAAGTGGGAAGACATTGAACTTGTGCTGTAGAGTTGGCTTAGTTTTGTCCTGAGCATCATGAGCCTGGTCCTTGAGTGATGCTCTCAGCTTCTCTGATCTTCAGTTTATATCATATATCGAATGGGGTGAATAAAACACAATCTCCCAGGGTAGCCAGGAAGCTTGAATAACAGGGTGAAAACATCCTATAAAAGTTAAAGTGTAGTATAATATAACGGAGGCCTGATCCCGGACGTAGAGTAAAATGCTACACTGTGTGTGGCAAAGCACGTGACCATGTAAGATTGGCGGTGAGGGGGCGTTATGATTTGTAGAGATGGATCCCAGAGGAGATAACATCCGAGGCAAGATTGGAAGGAGAAATCTTACCTGGCAGAGGAATGAGCACGTGCAAAGCTGGAGAAGAAATCACACAGGTCTTCAGAAAGAGAACCAGGCTGGCTGGATCGTGTTCTCTCTTCTACACAGTGGCCTCCCTGAAATTCATGGCACTGAACTTCTAGGTCTTGCCCATGTGAGCAGTTGATGAATGACAGTCCCCTCACCCCAACTGTCTACTCCAGGTATCCTGCACCCCTTTTTGTTCAGCCTTTCTGGTGCTGAGCACTCTAACCTCACTTCAATTCTTGCTCTAAGTTCATCTTATTCCATTAAATTCAGATATGCCCAGCCACAGGGGTATGTGCCTCCCCTCCTGCACAGTCTCCTCTCTCCTAAATGCCCACATTTGTTCTATTTCTAGCCCTGTTTATGATCACCCTCGCCATTCACTGCTCTGCTTCTTCCCAGCTGCCATTTTATTTTAAATGTGGGGTGAGCTGATATTGAACAAGATTATTTTCACAGCCCATCAGCACAACACATGTGACAAACATCTGGGAAAACAAGTATCTTAGGAAAGTTAAATAGGCTTGGAAAAAGACTTCCTAGAATCAGACTTAGAAGCATTGGGTCTGGAAGGAGACAGAGATAATGGAATCAAACCAGGACCAGCAAAGGTCCTGAATTAGTCAGCACTCAACATATTTTCTTATGCACAAGGCACAGTGTTGGAGGCTGAGGGAAACACTGAAGTGTCTAAGATGTGGTCTTTGCCAGAAGGATACTATAATCTATTTTAGAGTGGTAAGAGGAAATTAGAAAATAAAAAGAGCAAGCAGCCAATATTTTAGATAGTTCATTGAGTTCCTTCTCACTACTTGAGTCCAAGCTAAAGAGATGTTATTTTCCTCAACCCTACTGCTGAACTTTGTTCAGGAAATAGAGTTGACCAGTATGTCCTGGGCTGAATTTAGAATGCACACTCACAGATGACATTGTGTAGGGCACTCAGAGTGTCAGGACAAGAGCAGTACTGGGTTTGCTTCCCTGGAGGATACTGCTTCTTTGGAGTTTGTGTGTAAACTCTCTTACAGTCATCTGTGGGGGAGATTGTTACAGTGATAGAAACTTGGAGTTTCAAGAGTTGATGAAACTGTTAGGTGCCACCTACCACCTGTGGTTGGAAATGCTTCCATGGTGCCCCTCTTGGGGAAAGAGCAGGTCAGCAGATAAGACACTGGGTTTATGGACTACCAGAGACCTGGTTCAGTGCCCAGTTCTGTTGCTTTTGAGCTGTGTGGCCCTGAGTGAGTTACTGCAAATTTCTAAGCCTGGGATTCTTGAACTGGTCAGGACTCTTGGTTGCAAGTGATAGAAAATCCCATGGGAATGGGTTTACATGGCGTTTTCTTCTGATGCTGCTTCTGATACTAAATATATGTCTTTTATCCATGCCAACAACCAGTTCTCCAGCAACAACTGGTGTCCAACAATTCAATTCAATTCTGACATCAACGACCTGGAGGTAATGTAGATCTCTCAGGTTAAAGACTCAGTCTCACAAGACTTCCCGCACTTCCAATGCCAGTTGCAAGATTTAGGGGCCACCAGTACTTCTGGCTGACCACCTATAAATTTGGGGATTCCTAGGACCCTCCCCATCAGGTTTGATAATTTGTTAGAGTGACTCACAGAACTCAGAAAAGCACTTTGCCTGCTGTTACTGAGTTATAAAGGAAACAACTTAGGAACATCCAAATGGAAAACATGCAGAGAGCCAGGTCTTGGGGGTGTTGGGTGCAGAGCTTTCATGATCTCTTAGGCCTTGCTACCCTTCCAGCACCTTCGCCAACCCGGAAGCTCCCCAAGTTTGTTGTTTGAGAGTTTTATAGAGCTTAATCTCCAGCCCCCTTGCTCTTCCCAGAGGTCAGTGGGTGGGGCTGAAAGTACCAATCCTCTTATCACTTGGTCTTTCTGATGACCAGCCATCCTGAAGCTATCTAGAAGCCCCAATCTAAGTAAACTCATGATTATAAACTCAGGTGTGATCAAAAGGGATTCATTATGAATAATAAAAGATGCTCTGACCCCTCAGCAAATTCCAAGGGTTTTAGGAGTTCTGTACTAGGGACAAAGACCAAATACATATTGTTATTATACCACAGAGTTTAATTATGATAAGGGGTTTCAGGCATTTGGGGCTCATGTAATTGAAATATTCAGTGCTTGTTTTAGCCAGAGACCTGGTTTGTTCTGGAATTCGTTTTCCTCCACTACTTAGCTTTAGCCTACCTTTGTGTTGGCTACATTCTTAGGCAGGCTGTCTTCAAGAGAATAAAACTGACTGCTGGCAGCCCGAGATGTGTTTATTCCTAGAGTTTAGCAACCTCTACAGACAAAAAGCTGCTCTTTCTCAATAGTTTCAGAAAAAGAAAATCCCAGAATATCTCTTTTGTGTGGTGTGTGTCACATGTTTATCCTTGAGTTAATCACGTAGCCAGGGGGTGCAACACTCTGATTAGCTCCACCCAAATCATCACTAAACCCTGGGATCTAGCATGAGCCCTACCCAAACCACAAGACACAAGAATGGGGAGTAAGTGGTTTCTGAAAGGAAAAAAGAGTTTGTCTCATCAGCAGGAGGAGAAATGGTGGACAGGCAGGCAAAACCAACAGTTATTGACGCCCCCTTTCCCTCCGTCCCTCCCTCCCTTCCTTTTCCCTCCTTCCCTCCCTGTCTCTGTCTCTGTGTCTCTCTCTCTCCCTCCCCCTGCTCTTTCTCTTTCCCTTTCTTTTGATAGGGTCTCACTTTGTTGCCTAGGCTTGGAGTAGCATGATCATACCTCACTGTAGCTTCAACCTCCCGGGCTCAAGCAATTCTCCTGCCTCATCCTTCCAACTAGCCGGAAGTATATTCACCATGCTCAGCTCATTAAAAAAATTTTTTTTGAAAGGCAGGTTCTCACTATGTTGCCCAGGTGAGAGTGTTTTTTTTTTTCTTTTTTTTTCTTTTTGTTTTGTTTTGGACACAGACTCTCTCTTTGTTGCCCAGGCTGGAGTGCAGTGGCACGATCTCGGCTCACTGCAACCCCCACATTCTGGGTTCAAGTGTTTCTCATGCCTCAGCCTCCTAAGTAGCTGGAATTACAGGCAGCCACCACCATGCCCAGATAATTTTTATGTTTTTAGTAAAGACGGGGTTTCACCATGTTGGCCAGGCTGGTCTCAAACTCCTGACCTCTAGTGATCCACCTGTCCTCGGCCTCTCAAAGTGCTGAGATTACAGGCATGAGCCATCGTGTCCCACATACAGTTCCTTTTCCTGATCCTTAAAATGGGGTAGTGGTCACTTCCCTAGGCTCAGTAGTTTGATCCAAGTCCTCTTCTGTCATAATCTGTGCTTCTGGGACCTTCTACAACATCCAGGTGTTGTGTGCTCCGAGTCTTTGTCCTGCTACATGCAATATAGCCTCTAGCAATTTCTTTAGGGAGATAAAACCAGAATTTAACAAGGTTTCCCATTGGGTGATGTTTCTCCACATTTTTCTATACTTGGATTTATCCTCCTTAGCCTGGTTACACTCTGAGAGTTTACAGAGTGCAATATTCCTCCCCTGCCCATGTCATCTCAGTACTTATGTGTTTTTCATTTGAGCCCATATTTCATCTGAAAATGTCAAAACACTGCCCACACATGGCCAGAACCCAGTGGAGAAGATAGAGTCTCTTTATGAGACCTGCCAAATGGGGTTCAGTGCTTATCTGATCATGAATCATGAAAGCTTTTAGGACAGATGGTGTAATCATATCCAAGAATAATGCCCTTTCAAGAGCAATCCTAATTGGATCACATGGCATAAGAGTTCCACATCTGTCACATGGCAGGGATGGAGTTTCCTTTAACTTTAGTTTGTTTCCATTTCCAGGAGGGGCTAGAGCTTCCTTCAGTGGGTTCAATAAGCACATACAGGGTGCTAATACACTGATTCATTCATTCATTCATTCATCATGCACACATGTTCTCAGTTTCCTCCATGTGCCAGACACTGTTCTACAGGTTTTCATTCCCTGAAGCTTTCCTTCTATTTGGGGAAAGGTGAGTAATAATTAATTAGACCAATAAATAAGTAACATGCATGGAGCTCACGATAAACACTATGAAGACAACCAATAGGGTAATCATGAGTGTGTGTGTATGTGTGTGGGGGGATGTGTGTGTGGAGGACATGGCAGAGGGGAAGCTAGAGGGAAATCAGTGGTGACATCTCTGCTTGTCTCTGAATGAGACAAGGGAGCCAGGCATGTGAAGATCTGGGCCGAAGGGTGTCTGGAAGAGAACAACAAAGGTAAAAGCGCTGAGCTCAAAATAACTTCGATCTATTTAAAGATCAAGAAGAAGTTCAGTGTGGCTATTTATCACCTAGTGAGGGGCAAAGAGGGTCATAATGAGGCCACAGACATAGTCAGGGGCCACAATAAAAAGATTAGATTTTATTTTAATAAAAACCCAGTATCAGCAAATACTACATATAGTAACTCATTTAGTTCTCACAAAATGGTATGAGATTATCAACCCCATTTTACAGTGCAGAAAACTGAGGCATGGGGTAATTAAGATTTGAACTCAGAGCTAAATCCAGGACTTGGTTGCAGAGCTGTGCTGTCAGCCACCATATGTATAATAAAATGGAATCCACTGGGTGGTTTCAAGCAGGGTGACATGACCTGCATTAGATTTCTCAAAGTTTGGGATACGTGATGGGAGAGGAGAAGATGCAGGGGAGAACAGGTAGGAGCTGCTTCAAGAATCCAGACAATAGCTGGCTTGGGTGAGGGTGGTGGCCTTGAAGAAGGAGAAGAGTAGAGGGATTTGGGGTGTCTTTGGATGCACTGGATGTGTCTGGTGAGAGCAGAGAGGAATCAGATATGACTTAGATTGCAGAGGAGGCTGTTGAATCTCTGCCCTCATAAGGCTTATGGTTAAGTGATCCAATCAAATGCTCATTTATTTATTTTTTTATTTGGAGAGACCAGTTTGCTGGTGTTCTTGGCTTATCCACTCATACAATCACGTGATTGGCTTTATGCCACTGAGGGAGGGCTATATCTTTGCTGAGGAGGGCTTGGTATAGAAACACATGTTAATTTCACCTGATCTTCTGCTCCCGGGACTCTGGATGTCCAAATATATAGTGAAGCCACAGTTTATTTTCTCCGTCTCCAGCCCCACTGACTCAGGGAGAATGCCTGGGCTGCAATTTGAGTCTTTAACCTTGGCCCAAGCTGAGAGAAGCTGGAGTTCTGGATGCTTTTATTCTCTAGAAGTACTGAGCTATACGAGTACCCTGAATGTGCCAGGCTCCTTCAGCCCTCTCATCTGTGCTCTTTTTCTTCCCCAAAGTGCTCTCTCTTCCATTGTTTGTCTTCCTCCTCACCCTTCAGATTTCAACTCGGCACCTTAGCCCTCTGCAAAGTCCTTCCTGACTTTCCTCAGCTGACTAGCCCCACTCCTCAACTGCGCTCCTCAGGAGCAGGGTATGTGTGTGATTGTGTGTGTGTGTGTGTGTGTGTGTGTTTGTATGTGCATGCATGCCTGTGTATGTATCCGTTGTGTGCATGTTTGTGCATGTGATTGGTTGTGCGTGTGCATGCATGTGTGTGTGCATGTATGTAGTCGTGTGTATGTTTTTGTGTGTGTGTGTTGGTGTGCATATGTGTATTTCATCTTGATATCCGCAGCATCTAGCATAATACCTGTTATACAGGAGTGGGGACTGCAAAAGGAGGCTTTAGCTTTTGAACAAAGAAGTCAAGGAAGATCAGTAAAGGAATAGAGGAAGGAGGCATGGCGATAAACCTTGTATGTCAGCCTCTGTAACTGAAGCTAAGATGGCTTCATTGTGGCCTTTGCTTTCCCAAGTAGGTGCAGTGTGAGGAAAACCAGAGTGAGACATGAACCCTGGTGAATGTGGCACTTCCTCAGGGGATGACCCTTGGCATACTGGTAAGTCAAGTTGTGGGGATCCTTGCTTCCATACTAGCTCAGGGTGAACAAGCTTTTCCAGTGGAAATGTTCAACCATTTTCCTCCATTATTTTTCTTTCCCGGAGCAAATTTACATTCATGCAATAATTACCTCATTCAGATTCCCCCAAAATGTCATTGGATTCTAGAGGTGCTGCAGCTGACTTGGCGCTTCCTCATGTCAGCATCGTTGAATTCCTTCATCTGGGCAAACTGAGAACTGTGCCAGTATTTACCTTCCATTATACAGCAGGGGCAGAACAGGGGAGAATGGGGAAAAATAGGTGGGCTTAAGGAAAAGAAAACTATGAGTTTGTGAAAAAAAGCAATTTTGAAGGAAAGAAGAGAAAACGAGATCCATCAATTATGTTATTAAATATATTATGAAATTTTGTATTTCCATATGCATTCCTCTTTTAGTTTTTATTCTCTCATCGCTGTCTCACTAGACTTTGATGGTGCACAGCCCACATGCTGTAGGAAAAAAGACCACAGATTTGGAGTTCAAAAACAAGACTTTGCTGTTTATAAGAATTGCATTTCTGGAAAGGAGGGGGACTGTCTACACCAGCCAGCAACCTCATACGTTAAAAGACCAGGCTTTCTTTCACACTTGAGTAAAATCCAAGACCCCTTCTAAGATTTGCCTTTTCACCCACCAGGGAAGAGAAGCCCCATGATCCACAGGTAGGGAGGGTGGGACATGAAGATACCTCCCAGGGGAGGAGGAGGAGGAGGGCCTTGGGGTCACCAGCCAAACTTTCAAAAAGTCTAGTTGGTAGGGGTACTGTATTTGAAAGAGGCCTGCATATTTGTTCTGAAAAATATTTAGGATCATAACAGGTTACTATATTTGTGTAAGGGAATAAAATGAGGGTTGTCTATAAAGGAATCATAGTGTTTAGCCAGGGGAATACAAAATTATAACGTTCAGGATCTATTTGCCAGTGATTTTTTTTTTAACTTTGTTTGTTTGAGTTGGAGTCTGGCTCTGTCACCCAGGCTGGAGTACAGTGGTGCTATCTCGGCTGACTGCAGGCTCTGTCTCCAGGGTTCACGCCATTCTCCTGCCTCAGCCTCCCGTGTAGGTGGGACTACAGGTGCCTGCCACCACGCCTGGCTAATTTTTTGTATTTTTAGTAGAGATGGGGTTTCACCATGTTAGCCAGGATGGTCTCGATCTCCTGACCTCATGATCTGCCTGCCTCGGTCTCCCAAAGTGCTGGGATTACAGGTGTGAGCCACCATGCCCAGCCCTTTTTTAACTTTTAGAATAGGTGGCACAAGATCTGAAGTTACAGAGGGGCTGATTTCCTGGACACATGATCCAGATGCCATAGAAACGTTGAAAATGACTTAAGTGCCATCTCTGTCCTCCAGGTGTTCTCAGTGTGGTGGGGAGACAGACGAGCAAATTGATAAATTATACGGTAGGTGGAAGGTGTGATAGTAGTAAGATAAATCGCCTGTGAGGAGAATGTGTGGCAGGGAATAATTTGGCTTTGGCCAAGGGTATCAGGGAGTTTGCATTCAGGAGACACCATCTGAGCTGTGTTTTTATGGAAGATTAGGTATGTTTCTGGCATAAGGAGAAGGACTGATGAAGGGGAAGGGGCACTCCAGCAGAAGCCATGGCACATGGGAGGGCAGAGCACCATGACCCACCAGGGCTGGTATATTGGGGGACCCGTGAGAAGTTAGGTGGTGCTGGGGTGTAGGGCTTCGGGAAGAGCAGTGGGAGATGATGTTGGAGGCATGTGGGAGAACTCTGGAGGCCAAGGTGGGGGTGTTTTGATTTATTCCTGCAGTCATACTAGTTAAACTGAAGGTATATGTGGCTGCCTGCCCACCTCCCCCTTTAAGAGGAGGTAAGTAACTTCTCCTGAGTTACTTGCTTAAGAAACTTTGGGATTTACAGTTCCAAGCTGCAGCCTTCTCAGTTGGTTTGTTAGGATTGCCAAAACAAAGCACCACAAACTTGATGGCTTCCTTATCTCACAGTTCTGGAAACCAGAAGTCTGAGGTCAAGGTGTCAGCAGGCTGGCTTCCATCGGAAGGCTGTGAGGGAGAATCTCTTCTAGGCCTCTCTCTCTCCCCTGGCTTCTGGTGGTTTCTTGGAAGCTCTGGCATGCTTTGGCTTATAGAAGCATCAACCCAATCTCTGTCTTCTTTTATTATTTTTTTTAGAGAGGGGATCTCACTTTGTCACCTAGGCTGGAGTACAGTGGCACCATCATGCTCACTGCAGCCTTGAACTCCAGAGCTCAAGCCACCCTCCTGCCTCAGCCTTCTGAGTAGCTGTAACCAGTGGCACATGCCATCACGCCCGGCTAATTCTTAACATTTTCTTGTAGAGACGGGGTCTCACTTTTTTGTCCAAGCTGGTCTCGAACTGGCTTTAAGAAATCCTTTCACTTTGGTCTCCCGAAGTGCTTGGATTACAGGCATGAGCTACTGCCCCTGGTCACCCACCTCTGCCTTCATTTTCATATCACGTTCTCCTGTGTCTGTTTCCAAATTTCCCTTTTTATAAGGACACCAGTCACACTGGATTAGGGCCCACTCTACTCAAATAATGACCTCATCCTAATATAACTGTAATGATCCTATTTCCAAATAATGTCACGTTCTGAGGTACTGGGCATTAGGGCTTCAACATATGACCTTTTGTGGGACACAATTCAACACCTTTTCGGCCTAAAGTTTCCCGTGGGAGAAGAGAGAATAAGGAAGATGGAGAGAATGAAGCTGAATGTGGTGTTTGAACATCCATTCCGCTGGCTATATAGGGAGGTTTTAAGGACATTCTGTAAAAATCTTTGTGCTCCATTTAAGCTTCTCCAGCCAGGCCCAGGGCTCCATGTTTCTCTGAAAGTTCATTCAAAAATGGCTTTCACCTCTGCTGTTCAGGTATAGTCTGAGAGGAGCTAAGGATACCATAGTTGTTTCTTAATCTCTTATGAAAAAAGACTAAGTATTTCAGAGCTCTGAAAAGGTGGAATCTTTAGCTAGAAAATACGGTGTTATTTGCCCTCTTCTGTGTCGTTGACTTTGTCCTGTGGGTGTGGACTTTCTACCAGAGTGGGAAAGACAGAAGTGAGATTGTAAGTTAGACAAGCTAGCAAGGCGGGACATTGGAGACAGGTCAGATTTGGGAGCAACGGTGTTTGTGTCTCTTGAAGCTTAGGTTATTTCCAGGAAGAAATAGAGAGAAATTCAAAAGTGGATCCCAAAGCATTTCGGTTCTTCAAGCACCATAATTGTGTAAATCTCATTCTGAGATTTACGCTAATTCCCAACCAGCAGGATGGAGAATCATACAGGAGACCCTGAGGCTGTACTGAGGACCAGCACAGCCTCCCACCTAGAGCTGAACTCAGCCCCTGACTCAACGACTGGATCTGCAAGATCCTAGGATCTGACCATAGAATCCAGAGCTCACATTCCCGGCCTCCCTTGCAGCCAGAATGCAGCTGTGTGGGATTTCAATGGCTTAATGTGAGCAATTTGAGGAAAGTAGGACCCATTGTTGGTGATCGTTATGGCATCTGGATTTCAGATGCTGCAGGCGTGGTTTCCCAGAGGCTGCAGAGTCAAGTTCCTGACTTACAGGTGGCTTGCCTGCTCAGGACATGGGGGCCAGGGTGATAAGGTCAGCTTCTTGGTATTTCATTGAACTCAGTGCTGGGTAGCAGCCATGGAGGCTGTTTTCACATCAGGTCAGACCTGCAGCTCATATTTTGAGTGTTGCTTCTAGATACTTAAGAAAATGTGGCACATATACACCATGGAATACTATGCAGCCATAAAAAAGTTCATGTCCTTCATAGGGACATGGATGAAGCTGGAAACCATCATCCTCAGCAAATTAACAGAGGAACAGAAAACCAAACACCGCATTTTCTCACTCATTAGTGGGAGCTGAACAATGAGAACACATGGACACAGGAAGGGGAACATCACACACGAGGGCCTGTTGGCAGGTGGGGAGAAAGGGGAGGGAGAGCATTAGGACAAATACCTAATGCATGTGGGGATTAAAACCTGGATGATGGGTTGATAGGTGCAGCAAACCACCATAGCACATGTATACCTATGTAACAAACCTGTACGTTCAGCACATGTATCCCAGAACTTAAAAAAAAAAGCATGACAGACACAGTGTGTTTAAAATGCTTTGTGCTAAAAATATAGACCAAAAAGGAAGGAAGAAGGAGGAAAGGAAAGAAGAAGGAAGAAGAAAGGAAGAAGGAAGAGAGAGGAAGGAAGCAAGAAGGAAGGAAGCAAGAAGGAAGAAAGGAATAGAAAGGCTGACCAATAAATTGGAATCTGAAAGCTCTGGTTTTAGAGCAGGGCAGTGAATTTGGGCAAGTTCCTGCCCATTCTCCATCTCTAGAGAATTCATAGTATTAATGGGGATTTAAGGCCTCTCAGGTTTAAATGTCCTTTGAAACAATGTAATAGTTCAATGTCTTTATGACATTTACTTTGAGTTTTTATTTTTTGCCATCAAAAAGGTGGAATAAGATTTAGATGGGACCACAGTCACTGATTTAGATCAATGTAATAAAAATACAATGTGTTTTTTTCTTGCTCCAGGATACTGGAGGCAGCAGCCTACTGCTTCCCCCATGGCAGACATGTGGCTAGGGGTGCAAGTCGGAAGAGTGAGTGGGGCTGCCGCAGGCTTTGCCCAGGCTCCCCTGCACCTGCGGGAAGGCTTCTCCTTGGCGGGTAAGTTTTGCACCATGAAGCAGCACGTTCCTATCTTTCACTGTGTGATGTAAAAATCTGTGAGATGAAAATATAAATCTATGAGGCCGTTTATCAAAGCCTCAGCATTGTTAAATCAGTGAACTGTGCACCAGCACATTTGTTCTTATGAAGCATTGAACTGGCAGTACCCAGTGACTGTCACTGCATTTGCCCAGGGGACCCAGCCCCAGTAAGGTGGAAATACAACTTAACTAGTTTCCTTAAGAAAGACCACACAGCCTGGCCCTGCTTGGTGACGTGGAGCACGCATCAAGTTTGTTCACTCTCTGTTCAGTTCCCCTTTTTCTGCGTCAAGAAGCTGTTGCCCACAGAGGTGGATTGAACACCCTTATTTCAAGGTGGGAAATGGCCTAGAAGTTGGAGCCTTGTTTACCACAAGAAACTGTTCGCCATTTCCAAATTCTTCTCAACTAGAAAGGAGTGCAGTGGTACAAGTGAAACAGGAAAAATTCCATTGTCCCCCTTGCAGGGTGTGCAGTGGGGGTGTGGCTTGCTTCTTCAGTGCCCTGCTGCTCGGATCTCTAGGGGAGCATACAGACAGGCAGGCTGTGGGCTTTGACCCCACGGCAGTGTCTGGGGGTGAATGTTTACAGCTGAAGCCCCAGTGGGCGTGTGTTGCAAGGGGGCTCCTTTAGTTTAGCTGTCCCTAAGTGGCTTATGTTAGTCAGCCCAATTAGACCTGTGCCTTATCACAAGGACAGAGGGCTTTCTGTATCCCCGGGTTCTTGCCTTGGTGTACCGTAAGAATCGGATCACACATGGGCTTGGAGAATGAGTGCAAGGTTTTATTGAATGGAGTAGCTCTCAGTAGATGGGGGAGCCAGAAGAGAGATGGTTTTCCCCTGGAGTCAGGCTGTTTGGCGGCTGAATCTTCTCCAACAGTCCAGGTCAAACTCCACATTGTTCCGTGGGTCAATGGCCTGCTGGTGTGCTGCAGTGCTCCTACATGGGTGCGTTCCTCTTGACGTCCAGCCACCCGTGTGTTCCTCCGTTGATGTGCTCCTCTTGATGTCCAGCCGCCTGTGTGTCTGCCAGCTAGGGTCTCAGGATTTTTATAGGCACAGGATGTGGGTGTGGCAGGCCAGGGTGGTCTTGGGAAATGCAACATTTGGGCAGGAAAACAAAAATGCCTGTTCTCACCTAGGTCCGTGGGGACAGGCCCAGGGGTGGAGCCCTAGCCAGGGACCACACCCTTCTCTACCCAGAACTTCCCTTCCCTACTTCTGTATCACACGTGCTGGAGTTTCAGCTGTGATGGCTAATTTGGTGTCAACTTGGCTAACAGTGCCCAGTTTTTTTTTGTTAAACACTGGTCTAGATGTGATTGTGGAGGTATTTTTTAGATGTGATAAGCATTGGAATCAGTAGACTTTTGAATAAAGCAGATTACCCTCCATAATGTGGGTGGGCCACATCCAATCAGTCGAAGGCCAAAGTGAGCCAAGATTGAGGTGTCCCTAAGAATGAATTCTCAAGATGGCAACATGGAAAATCTGCCTGGGTTTTCAGTTTGCTGCTCTGTGGAATGCAGCTCAAGACTGCAACATTAGCTCTTACCTGACGTTGCAGCCTGCCCTATAGCATTTGGACCTGCTGGCCGGCGTGGTGGCTCACATCTGTGAGGTGTGAGCACTTGGGAGGCTGTGGCAGGTGGATCACATGAGGTCAGGAGTTCGAGACCAGCCTGGCCAACATGGTGAAACCCCATCTCTTCTAAAACTACAAAAGTTAGTGGGGCGTGGTGGCAGGCGTCTGTAATTCCAGCTACTCACGAGGCTGAGGCATAAGAATCTTTTAAACCCAGGAGGCAGAGGTTACAGTGGGCCGAGATCGTGCCCGTGCACTCAAGCCTGGGTGACAGAGTGAGACGCCCTCTTAAAAAAAAAAAAAAAGGAAAAAATTTGGACCTGCTTGCCCCACAATTGTGCGAGTCAGTTCTTTAAAATGAATCTCTGACTCTGTCTTCATCTCTCTCTCTCTGTGTATATGTATATGTATATGTATATGTATATGTATATGTATATGTATATGTATATGTATATGTATATGCTATTGGTTCTATTTCTCTGGAGAATCCTGACTGATATACCAGCCCTGGTTTTCCATGACTCCACCTCTACCAATGGATGTTGTTTTCTTTTCTTTTCTTTTCTTTTCTTTTTTTTTTTTTTTGAGACGGAGTCTTACCCTGTCTGCAGGCTGGAGTGCAATGACGCAATCTTGGCTCACCGCAATCTCCGCCTCCCTGGTTCAAGCGATTCTCCTGCCTCAGCCTCCCAAGTAGCTAGGACTACAGGTGCACGCCACCACACCCAGCTAATTTTTGTATTTTTAGTACAGACAGGGTTTTACCGTGTTAGCCAGGATGGTCTCGATCTCCTGACCTTGTGATCTGCCTGCCTCAGCCTCCCAAAATGCTGGGATTACAGGTGTAAGCCACTGCCCGGCCCGGATGTTGTTTTCTCTGTATCATCAGTTCCTCCTTCTTTAAAATAACGCCTCTATTAAGTCTATCAAGAGTTTGAAAATGTGCTCCCACCATTTCCTGGGTTAGAATCTCTTCGTGGGCTGCACCTCTGAATCAGCTTTGCAGCCTGTCAATCATACAAATGCTGGGCTGTTTCTCCTGAGATTCTGGGTCAGTGTTCAGGGCAGGCACTGAGTATTCATAGTCTTTAAAATGTGTCCCACGTAAGTCTGCTATTGAGTGCTACCAAACTTCATAATAATATCTAACTTCCTTAACACCCAAACACTACCCCGATCTGGCATTGCCTAATACTTCACCATGTCACACCCTAGACCAGACGCAGTGAACCTTCACACCCTTATCTGCCTTTGCGCTTTTGCACATACTCTTTCAACTGCCTGAAATCCACCCCTACCACACATCCCCTGTCACCTGGCAAACTCCTATGAATCCTTCAAGGTCCCGTAGAAGGATGATGCTTTTCCAGGCCTCCAGGACCCAAGCACATATGTTTAATAACTCTGTTGTGATATTGAGCACATCAAATTACCATCTAACTACACTTCTCTATTGGCTGCAACCTCTTCAAAGTTGGGCATCACATCTTTGTGTCCTCATTGCCCAGGACGATGCCTGACATATAAAGCTCAATAAATTTTTGCTGAATTTAAATCACAAAGCAAGTTCTTCCTGCACTGATTCCACACTCACCAAGCAACAGTTGGATAATTTGACTTCCCCGGCAGCTCCTGCCGATGGAGTGAATGCGTGTTCGGTCAGACAGATGTGAGTGTCTGGGCCACATGACAGTGCATTTATTTCCAGCTTAAATTAATAAATAGGAGTCCTGGTTTACATACAATTTGTTGAATAAATGGCTTGCCTATGGTCATAGCTCAATTATCCAAATACAGATGATCCTCCCAGCCTATTATTTGCAGACTGATTTTTATTTATTATCTTGAATTTGTTCTCTCTCTCTCTCTTTCTTTTTTTTGAGCTCTGCTCAGTCCCTCTTTCCTCCCTGTGTGGATAATTGAAAGCTGGCACCACATGTGACCCCATCAGAAAGGCCGTCTTATAAAGCATTGGTGTTGAGTCAATTTTACTGATGGTATTGGCTACACATATATCTAGGGCAGAATCCACCAGATGTTGGTGTGGCGAATCTCCACCCCATTGCAAGGATTTTGCTGCAGCAAAATCGAGTGTAGAACTGTGCTGTGTGAGTTGTATCAGGAAGACAGAGACCCTGTCAAGAAGACAGGAACTATACATATATATACATATACATATATATGTGTGTGTGTGTGTATATATATATATATGTGTGTGTATATATATATATACATACAGAGAGAGATATATAGTTATCTAGATACCTAGGGAACTTATGTGTATATACTTCTTCTTATACCATAATGTCCTTAAGCAGGCTCTTTCTTGTAGCTGGAGGAGGCCCCCAGCACCTGAGAAGAGAACTTTTCCATGGAAGAACCTAGAGTCAGTGTGGTACAACAAGAGACTTCCAACTAGGAATTAACAGGTGCAGTTCCAGCCCCACCTCTGCCACCTTGTGCCTAGGACAATGGGCAATCTTTGTCTCTTGTCGATTTCACTGGGAGCTGGGATTGGCCTCATGGCCACTGTGCACTTGGGATTTAGAATGGGTATTATGGTGGGGGTGTCTGTTGAAGGAAAGCGAGACAGGACCTGTTAAATAGACCTGTGGCAGGTCCCAAAGCCTACCCTCCTTAAAGCCACCCCATCATTCAGGAACCTCTTTCCGCCGCCTTGTTCTATCCCCCACACAGCCTGCAACAATCATGTGAATTCTGAAGAAAATCAGAGTTCTTTGCCCAGACTCCTCCAAGTCATCTTGGGATACCAGTGAGCTTTCTTCTCTGGCTGGACCATGCCCCATACCACCCTGTGCCCTGCACTGGCAGGAGGGTCTCTGCCCCCACTAGCTCTTGCCTCTGTTTTTCTCTGAGCTGCCCATCCTATTGCCCACTCCCCTCACACTGCAGCAACAAAGAGCCCACCTCACAGCCTGGCCTTGTACCTCATTTTCCACATGGCTGCCATTCGGAGGAGTTATCGATCTAATGTTGGTGTGGAGGCTGCTGGTGGGGAGAGTAACATGGCCTGGAGCAGCCAGCTGCAGTGGCTTGCCTGAGGCTGCCGAACAGTACAGCTGCACTGGAAACTGAGATACACTCTCTGCTTCAGCAGAGGCTTTTCTTTCTGATTTTGGGAGGTGGTGCTGGCATAGCCGTGACTGGAACACCCTGGGGGAAGGTTCCTCACAAGCTGACCCGATAGGGCTCTGTGTCCTGCGGGCTGCCTGGAGGAGGAGAACTTGAGAAGGCACAGGGGTGGAGAGGAATTAGAGCAGAAGCAAAGCTAAGCTCAAAGGGCAGGAGCAGGAATGGAGCTGTGGTCACAGCCCAGACCGAACAGCAGACCTGCCAAGGTGGGTCGCAGCAGGACCCGCTTCCAGGATGCACGAGGGTAGGCGAGCCATGGTGGAGACCAGCAGGGAAGGTGTCCTCACCTGCACTGGGCTAATGAACACACTGCTCTATTGTGCAGGCCAGAGGTGGCTTCTCCTCTCCCACATCTCACAGGGCCCAGCCAGGGGCCACCTCAACCAGGAAGTTTCCTTTGACATTTCCCATCACCCACAGTCTCAATGGAAGAGAAATAACCAGAAACACTGGACCAGCACTTCTCAACTGGAGAGCCTCATAAAATGCAGATGTCTGGGTCCCTTTCCAGATCTGTTAAAATTATAAGCTGGAGGGGAGGAGCCCAGGCATATGTATTTTTAAAACAAGTTTTCTAAGTAATTCTGAAATGCCTCTTGATGGGACCTAAGAATGGGTATGTTTTATAGCACTTTACAGCTTACCAAGAAGGCTGCAGACCCGAGCTCACTTTTTCTGACGCCACTTTGGTTTGTACCTCATCCCCAAGCACCACATAATTTAAATAGCTGCCTGTTTCTTCTGTTATTCCACTCTCACCTTGGGGAGAGAACCAGGCTCTGTCCTTTATTTACTTTTTGATCACTCACAGTGCTTTCTTCCACACACTGTGCTAGGGAAAGACCAAGAACTCAGTAAATACTTAACGACTGGGGTTAGGTCAGGGAATTAAAGGCCACAGTAAACACACAGACACTCACACATTATTTGCACACAAGAGAGATGTGTACACTGCAGGAAAATGAGAAAGTTCAAATAGGAGAAAAAAAAATGAAAACCACCTATGTTCACTCCCTATACTTTAAAAACTACCAATTCCAGGTGTGTGTGTGTGTGTGTGTGTGTGTGTGTGTGTGTGTATGTATGTATGTGTATGCAGTTTTACATCAATATGGGATTATGCTGTGTATACTCTTTTATAGCTACATTTTACAATTTGGCAATAGATCATAAGCAAATTCCATTATCTTAAAAATATTAGCATTAGGTCCTAAACAGAGTTTTAACTAGGAAATCACTAGCAAAGATATCTCAAAGATGGGTCTTGAAGTCCAAAATGAGAGATTGTAGACCCTACTCTAATACTTAACACTTATGCACATCAACACACATTCTCAAAACATCCTATCATAAAATAAATACTTTGGTTGAACATAGAGATTATATGTAGTTTACTGTTTTCATTGTTATTTCTCTGCTCAATTCTTTTTGATAATTCTTCCTTATAGGATAGGGTCCAAAAATATTAGCTTGGCATTCATGATCCTCTGCCACCTGGACCCAATTAACTTTCCAATGTTATGTCCCACTGATCCCCATTTAATGCTTTCTACTTTCGTCATAGAGTGCTACTCAGTGTTTTTGAAGGGTGGCCATGACAGTGTCTACTCTTTGTTTGCAAATCTTTCCCTGTCTGAATGTCATCCTTCTTCTCTTCCTATACTACTACCAATCCCGTGGTAAACAGGGCCCACATCACTAAATAGGACGATCCTGCAGTTATACGTTACTGTATAACAAATGATTCAAAAACTTGGTGGCTTACAACGATAATTTATTATTTCTTGTGATTCTTTGGATCAGGAACTCAGACTGGGATCAGCTAGATGGTTCTTCTGCTGGACTCACCTGTAGGATTGTCAGATTTAAATAAAAATTCAACACACTTAGTTAAATTTGAATTCCAAATAAACACTGACTAGTTTTTTTTTTTTTTGGTATAAGCATGTCTATACAATATTTGGGACATATACTAAGAAACTGCTCCTTATCTGGAATGCAAATTTAACTGAGTGTTGTGTGTTTTAGCTGGCAAACCTCATCTGGAATCGCTCCGCGGTGGAGGGCCTTGGTTCTCCTCCATGTGGCCCTTGTCCTCCGGTGAGCTGCATGGAATCTCTTTGTATGGTGGGCTCAGGAAAGCATTTCAAAAGGGCAAAGATGGAAGCTGCCACACCCTTTAAGACAGCCTTCGGCCGGGTGCAGTGGCTCATGCCTGTAATCCCAGCACTTTGGGAAGCCGAGGTGGGCAGATCACCTGAGGTCAGGAGTTCAAGACCAGCCTGGCCAACATGGTGAAACCTGGCCGCTACTAAAAATACAAAAATTAGCCAGATGCAGTGGTGCATGCCTGTAGACCTGGCCACTCGGGAGGCTGAGGCAAAAGAATCGCTTGAACCCAGGAGGTGGAGGTTTCAGTGAGCTGAAATCACACCACTGCACTCCAGCTTGGGTGACAGAGCAAGACTCCATCTCAAAAACCTAGCCTTGGATGTCACACACATAACGTCACTTCCCATTCAGTCTCTTGGTCAAATGAGTCATAGTGTTGCCTGCATTCAGTCCTCCAAAAATGGGCTCTAACTTTAGATGGGAGGAGCAGCAAAGTGGCAGTGCAAGGGGCATGCATCTGGGGATGAGAGGAATGGCTGCAGCCCTTTTTGCAAACAGCATTATTCCCTATCACTTTCAAATACTACCTTGTAGTCTACTGTACCATAACTCTTTATTCACTTTCTAACTTTTACATTTGGGTTATTTCTTTATGTTGTTATGAACTTTGTTTCAAACAACAGGCATTTTTGTGTACTTGTCTAATTTTGTGTATTTTTTTCTCTTATGAGTTAGAAATCACTGCCTTATGTCAGAGCCCAGCTTTATCACTTACTGTGTGTCCGGGGGAAAAATTGCTTAGCAGCTTCCTACCTCAGTTTCCTTATCTGAAAATGAAGACAAAAATATGACTCATCATATGGGGTTACTGTGAAGGTCAAATAGATACTGAATATAAAATGCTCAATAACTGTTGATAATTATTAAGATAAATCCCTGGAAGCAAAATTATTAGGCCAAGTGGTATCAAAATATTTAGGACAATTGCTGTATATTAATAAAGGGGACCACTAAAAATATATTTTAAATTTTAGATTCAGAGGGCACATGTGCAAGTTTTTTAATGGATATATTAGGTGATGTTGGGTTTGAGCTTCTAGTGAAGCCATCACCCAAATAGTGGACATAGTATCCAAAAGGTAGTTTTTAAACCCTTTTTCCCATGCCTCCCTCCCTCCCCCATTTTGGAGTCCCTAGTACCTATTGTAGGGATCATGTTTTGGGTTAACAGAAACAAGACCCAGTTCTAGAGCCTAGTGGTTAAGAACTAAGACTTTAGACCAGGAGTCAGAAAGCTGCTGCCCATGGACTGTTTTTGTAAATAAGGTTTTATTGGAATACAACTATGCCCCCTTTTTAAAATGTATCAGCTCTCACTGCTTTTGCCTTAGAATAGTAGAGTTGAATAGTTGTGGCAGCAATCAAGTGGCCCACAAAAGTGAAAATATTTACTATCTGACCCTTTATAGAAAGTTTGCTAACACGGTGAAACCCCATCTCTACTAAAAATACAAAAAAAAATTAGCCGGGCATAAGTGGTGCACGCCTGTAGTCCCAGCTACTCAGGAGGCTGAGGCAGGAGAATGGCGTAAAACCTGGGAGGCGGAGCTTGCAGTGAGCCGAGATCGCACCACTGCACTCCAGCCTGGGAGACAGAGGGAGACTCTGTCTCCAAAAAAAAAAAAGAGAGAAAGTTTGCTTTCAGTTTAGTGTAAGAAAGTCCTGGACTCGAATCCACACCCTGCACAATACCCTCTGTACTGGTGCACATACCCTCTGTACTGGTGACATAAGTGCTTGGTAAAGGATAGTCCTCTTATGACTCTCTTTCCTGCTATCTTGGTGGACACTGAGGAAGGAGGCCAGCAAGATGATTTCATCCACACCAAGTAGAAGGGCTCTACAGAGCAGCAGATATTTAAATAGAAAGTGTTGTGTGTGCTCGTGTGTGTGCCTGTGTGTATGTCAGCATCCAGGTGTATGTGCATCCTTCTGTGTGTGTGTGTGTGTGTGCATGTGCACGTGCACACTCGTGTGTGCCTGTAGCCAGAGGACTGGCTGGTGGAGTGGTCATTCTCCCTGAGCAAAGTTTTCTGTACTTGTAATAGGTACTGTTGGCGTGACTGTTCTGAGCAATGATGAGAGGTGCCAGAGGAAGCAGTGTGAAATAGTGTCGTAGTGGAAATATGTAATGAAGGTCATTGTAGGCAGGAGTCTCTTCAACGTGTCTACTCACCCAAAAACAATGGCACTGGCCCTCCCTTGGTGCCCGGGCTCTCCCAGCAGTGTGTGGGCCCTCCCCATGGCTGAAGCTTGCCCCTGGTTTCCATCTGCACTCTTCACACTGCCCAAGTGAAACCTAGTTTCTCTGATTCATTCTGCTGACGAAAGCACCAATCACATGCTCTCCAGTTGATGAACCATGGTGTGGGTACTTGCTGGGTTCTGAGCACTGCATTTTAAGCTGGATGTTGGTAAACTTAGAGACATGATGTGTGCTATCTTCCTTCGTTTTCACACCAACACTCTGAGCAGGTCTTATTATCTTCCCTTCATAGGTTAGAAACTAGAGCTCAGAAAGGTCAAATAACTTTCTCCAAGACACATAGCCACATAAGGACTGGAGCTGGGATTTGATCCACGAGTCTCAAAAAGCTTATTGTTTCTACTGCACTAGACAATCACTAGTCTAGCAGAAAGAATTCCATGGTAGAAACATTATAATTAAGGTCAAGGTGAGATATAGGTCATGAAAGACTTACATAAACACTAGAAGAATTCAGAAGAAAGGGAAATTTTATATAGATGAAAGCATTTGCATTTGATTTTAATTCCATATGACCAAGAGAAGAAAATTTGTTTTTCTTCTGAATCTGAGGCCTTAGGTAAAATTAGGGGGGAAAAAAACATCAGTCCTGAATATGTTGGTTCAAAATTTGGGAAGTGTATGACAATCTTTACTTGACTGAAGAAAGCAAGTTGACTTTGGGCCATGGGAGGGCTGGGCCAAGTCAGTTTTTGCTTCAGGCTGCCTGTCTGGAGGGACACAGATGTCACTGTTTTAAGTGTTAACTAAAGTCACCACTCCCTTAAAAGGATGGGTCCATTGTGGGCCCGAGGAAATGTCCAAGCTGCATCCATCATCACTTCAATAGGGTTCTTTCTCTGGCTGTCACACTTAACTGTTCTCTGCAGCATTTGTACCAGAGTTAGGTCCTAGTTGCTCCTCTCTGCCTAGCTTGTGCCCAGTACAGTCCTGTGATAGAAAAATTATTATTCCACAGTATTCTTCAGAGAGGCTTTGAGAACCTGGAAGTAATAAACCAACAGAGCTGATAGGTGTTGACCTGCGAATAGCATTTCCCTACCTCTGCACCTGTTCACCGAGGCCTCCAGGAACCCTTTCTTTGGTCTAAAGGAGAGCTAATGGTACATTTCTTATGGAAGCATCCTGAGCCTTGAGACACATGTCCACGGGTCTAGCCCAGGATGGGGTACATAGAAGAGCTCGGGAAAAGTTTATTGACTGAAGGGAAGAATGAAGGTATGAATGCAAGCCGAATGTCTCTATCATTAATTGCTGAGCTCACTGCAGCGAGGAATTTAAGCATTTTATTTTCAAAATAGATTCTCTGCTTGGATGTTCGAGCTGAGGCTAGACAAGATTAAAGACCATTCAGCCCTAGAAAGTCTGGTTTAATTGGTCTGGGAAGGAACCTGGCAATGGCATTTTTAAGACGCTCCCCTGGTGATTCTGATACGCGGTCAGGGCTAAAAACCATTTGGATTTTATCCAGTCTAAATTCTCTCAAAAGTAAAGTAATCCCAGCACTTTGGGAGGCTGAGGTGGGTGGATTGCTTGAGGTCAGGAGTTTGAGACCAGCCTGGCTACATGGTGAAACTCCGTCTGTACAAAAAATACAAAAAATTAGCTGGGCATGGCGGTGCATTCCTGTAGTCCCAGTTACTCAGGAGGCTGAGGCACGAGAATTGCTTGAGCCTGGGAGGTGGAGGTTGCAGTGAGCTGAGATTGTGCCACTGCAGTCCAGCCTGGGCTACATGGTGAAACCCCGTCTTTACAAAACACACAAAAAATTAGCTGGGCATGGCAGTGCACGCCTGTAGTCCCAGTTACTCAAGAGGCTGAGGCACAAGAATTGCTTGAGCCTGGGAGGTGGAGGTTGCAGTGAGCCGAGATTGCACCACTGCGGTCCAGCCTGGGCAACAGAGCGAGACACCATCTCAAAAATAACAACAAAAATCCAAAACCAAACCAAACCAAAACAACAAACGATATTGCAAGGACAAAAAAACAAACACCGCAAGTTCTCACTCATAGGTGGGACTTGAACAATGAGAACACGTGGACACAGGAAGGGGAACATCACACTCTGGGGACTGTTGTGGGGTGGGGGGACGGGGGAGGGATAGCATTAGGAGATATACCTAATGCTAAATGACGAGTTAATGGGTGCAGCACACCAGCATGGCACATGTATACATATGTAACTAACCTGCACATTGTGCACATGTACCCTAAAACTTAAAGTATAATAATAATAATAAAAACAACAACAACAAACAAACAAACAAAAAAAGAGGAAACTGAGGCCCAGAGAAAGGCTACAGCTTGGAAGCCCTTGGCCATGAAATAAAATGAGGAAAATCTGTTGGCTGCCTCTGGGTTTTTTTTTCCAGGTTGTGTTTCTTGCTTTCTTGCTCTATCTGTGGGTTTGAACTTGGACCTGTGGTCAGGACCAATCCCCTACCCCCAACTATTCTTTCTTCCCTGTATCTTCTGTGACCCTGTGGTTACCTCCTGCCCACTTTTTTGTTTCCTGTGTGACTTGGGTTCAATTTTTGTTTTAATTGATAAAGTGCCCCTTCTGGAATGTTATGTCTGTTTTTCCTGCTCTTTCCCCTGGAAGCAAATGGGAGAGATTTATGGTTCCTTGTAAAACCCACGCCTTGTTTAGAAATTGCTTGTGATTGATTAAGTGATAAAAATGCTTTTAAGACAGGAAGGTAAATTTTCCTGCTAATTGCTCTGTGCTTTACATTAGAACATTGTTACACTGCCTGATACTCTCTAGGGCTGGACAACTTTGTAATTTCCATCACCCTGAAAAGTCACATTGGAATCATCGTCTGCATGTTTATTTTTTCCAGGACGGAGACTGTTAAAAGACACAGATAATTAATAGGCCAATAAACACAATCAGCAACACATTTGAAACAAGAGAGCAAATCCCCTGTTTCCTTTCAGTATGAGCTCCAGCGTTCATCTGGGTGTGCAGACAGGAGCCAGGCCCTGGTGGAAGGGTGGTCCAGATGGGATATGGATGGGGTTTCTCAGCCTCCACCTGTCCCTTCCCTCTTTCTAGTATCAGATTGGTGCAAAAGTAATTGCAGTTTGGCCATTACTTTTAATGGCAATAGTCTAGGTACCCTAAAAGATGGATTGTGTATGAGTCAGACTCCCGGGCCTGGAGCCAGAAGGGGATGAAACTTGCATCCCAGTGGGGAGGGCACATTCCTGGACAGGGCACAGGGAGTGTCTGGTGTGTGGTCTACAGAGCCTGGATTAGATGGCTGACCATTGCTTCAGAGCCCTAAGGGAATACAGGGATGCAGCCATCACCAAAGCCATTCACAGTCTCCATCAGTGGAGTCATTGAACTTCTGTGCAGCCCTCCACAGTTCCCACAACTTTTTAAACCTACAAGTAAGTGGGCACAAGGGAGTTAAACAGCTCCTCTTGCCCTTCTCCAGACAGCAGTCTCAGCCTGCCATGGACACACGCAATTTTCAATCATTCTGGGCGGCCAGGGAAATGTCTCATAGGGGAAGAGGAGAAACAGGACCCAAGTGAAGGGTTTCTAGTGTCAGGAAAGAACTATCTAAGGGCATTTAGTCCAGGAGAAACTTCTTGTCTCACCTAGAGCCAAAATCATCTGGCTGCTTGCCCCTTCCCTTCACCACCCTTTTATAGTGGCAGCATTTGAGGAATATTTGCCTTGGAGGAGATCCAGTTATCCAGAATTTTCTGTCTGGCTTAAATGTTAGTGACAGCAAGTGATTGAAAAAATAACAAGAGGGGGAATTTGTAATTGATCCACAGATGAACTCAGGAAATCCTCTAGCACTCTAAAATTACCTGTCTTATGAGCGTTTTCCTGGGGTGGGGGGTCTACTTCCTTCATGAACATTTTAAGAGATTTGCAACCCAAAGATTATTTTTAAAAAACGTTCGAAGATGGATTAAAACTGTTAGAAAGGTGGCAAGAGAATTCTGACTTAGAGGGTCAGGGAGGGTTTCACAGAGGTAATGACATTGGACTCAGCCTTGAAGGGAGATGGAGTTCTCCAAAAGGAGGAGGAGGAGGATTCTAGCACTGGGGTCTCATGTACACAAATTCAGAGTTCTGGAAAAGCACGATGTGATATCCCTGTAGCCCAGAGAGAAGGAAGGCTGGAGCAGAGGGTGCTGGGAGAAATGTACCTAGAAAGGTAGGCTGGGGTCCTATCACTGGGGCATGTCCTTGGATGAACATGAAGGGGTTTGGGCTTTAACCTCAAGTCAAGTCTCCAGATGCTAACTCCTTTCTGTGTCCATTGCATCAGGGTTATCTTTTGAACAAGGTCATTACTAGCTCAGAGCGGGGGCAGTGGGACATCACTTGAGTCCAATTGTCATGGCGGTAAAGCAACTCAGAGGGCTCCGTGTGATAAAGTAGAGGCCCCCATCTCAAATACACGGCTTGGCTACCTATTCTTGGCTAGCTACACTTAGGACTTCTCTAGGACTTCCTACCACTCTTGGTCCCTGGCCTTTCTGGACCAATTTCCATGCAAAGTTATTCTGTTCTCACTAGTTACTGGGGAATAATTTGTTTTCCAGGGAAGGGTTTCAGGTTTTGACTCTGGCCAACTGGGAGCTTTCAACTCACTTTAAGAGTAGTATGTAGTGCAAATGACAGGGACAGATCATGGATATGAAGATGTCATTATGCTCTTCTAACAGCATTATTTAGCTATTCTATGCTGTGATGCCTATGAGATACCCAAACTTTAAGTTGCAGAGTAGAGCTATCTGCCTGGGAGAGGTGACTTCATTCAACCCCAGGCTTCCTTGGCATCACTGAGAAGCCATAGCACTTAGGCCCCTCAATGTGATAATAGAATAATGATAAATGCTCATTCAAGGAAAGGTCCTGGTTTTAGAAGTACTGCCTCTCAAGTTTTGCCATGAAGAAACTGCTAAGATCCTGTCTTGGGATGAGGGTGAGACCTTCAGGCTTAAGTGATGATTGCAAATAGGGAGCTCCCTGCCCTGTCTGTCTACTGCTTCTCACCCAATCTGCTCCTTCAGATCTACTGAGGTATTAAGGACTTTCATTTCTTTCTTGAGTGGTGAAATGGTCCTCCTACCTCCCCCCTGGGGAAGGGAGAAATTGAGGGGAGCTAAAGAGACAGAAGGTCCTTGTCCTCCAGGCCCTGGCTATCTGTATTACCAAGTCCAACAGAATGAGGAGTGCTAGTTGAATAAAATGAGTAGTTAACAACTACTAGTACACAGGAGGCAGACAGTGTGCTGAGTGTGTGGATTATTAGGGGGATTATCTGACTGAATCCTCCCAACAGTCTTGTGGAGTAGGTACTACAAGTGTCGCACTTTATTGATGGGAAAATTGGAAAGGAGGGGCATTAACTTGCCCAGGGTTTCACAGTCAGAGAAGAGGGGACTCATGATCCAAGGCCAAGCCACTTGGTTTCACAGGGGATGTTCTTAGCCACTATGCAGTTTCCTTTTGCCACGATCCATTGCTAGCTGGCTTCAGTCTCCTGGGCATTCTAAACATGGGGCAAGCAGCAGGAAAAAGACTTCTAGGTGGCTGTAATTCCAGATATAATGTGGATGTAGAATAGCTGCATCTGAACCATGTTAGTTGATGCAAGGGATACTGGAAGCACAACCCACAGAGAGATGGTCTGGACAAGAACCAGGTGAGGTGCTAGGCTTCCCACCTTCTGTTCAGGGAGCTTGAGGTACAGAGCTTTCCCAGCAGGTTATTTCCAGATATTGCTCCCTATGGACTGGGGAAGGATGGGGAGGTGTTGATCCTCCTAGCGTGGACAATACAAGAGATTGGTGAGTGGGACTGGAGCCAATGGAGCCTGGCTTTGTTGAGGTTGTTTTCATCTGGAGCACAGCTACTTCATCTCTATGCTCATCTTTCTAGAATGTCAAGTAGACCAAGTGCCCACATAGAGATAGGTAACAGTAACAACAACCACCGTCACTGTAGCAGGAAACTTCAAGGGCTTTCATTTCTTGGCATGGATGGGCTTGGGTGAGCTTCTCCATCCTCTCTGCCCAGATGTGGCCTTGCAGCACACCTGTATGTGGATGTGTTCTGGCAATTGAGTGAAGGTGGGTCAAGGGAGTATAAACTAATGGAAGAGCCTCACAGCCCAACATGCCCTCTGGGTCTCAACTTACACAGACTACTTTCGGGAGTGGCCTAAGCCTTGGTTTTTCCTAGTGCCCCCAGCCCTCCATGGGAAGAATCTCATACCTCTTCCTTTCAAATTATGTCTTGGCATCCAATTGATTATAAGGGGGTAAATACATTTCTCAAAATTTTCCATTTATAAGGGTTTAAAAGAAGCAATATTATTCCTAAGGAAAGGGGAAATATATCACATATGTTTTTCTATTCCTCATACATGAAGTGTGCAAAAGATCAGTCCCTGAAAGTGTGTAAATAGATTGAATAATTTACAGCATTAAAAAAACCATTTTCCTTGGGAAATAGTGATCTACTGAAGATATTGAAGCAGGAAAATAACACGATTTGCTTTCTGAATTCTTATTCAACAACTAAGGTTATCATTCATGCTCTCTGCTTGATTGTGATGCCTTAAAGGATAAGGAATGGGGCCTTTGCTTTTGTATCCCTAGCAAGTTAGCAAGCAAGTGCCACAGTGCCACACACTTATTTGCTATTCAATACTTTTTGAATGAATGAATGAGTGTGAAGGAGAGTGTTGGCAAATGCAGGCAGGAATGGGATTAGAGTTAGAGGTTATAAGCTGAAAGCTGGAAGTGGACAGAGTTAGGGGAAGAGGCCAGAGGAACTCAAACACAAGGCCAGGAGGATCCAATTTAAAGAAATGGACTGCTGGGAGTGGTGGCTCATGCCTGTAATCCCAGCACTTTGGGAGGCCGAGGTGGGCGGATCACCTGAGGTCGGGAGTTTGAGACCCGCCTGACCAACATGGAGGAATCCCGTCTCTACTAAAAAGACAAAATTAGCTGAGTGTGGTGGTGCATGCCTATAACCCCAGCTACTCAGGAGGCTGAGGCAGGAGAATCACTTGAACCTGGGAGGTGGAGGTTGCAATGAGCCGAGATTGTGCCATTGCACTCCAGCCTGGGCAACAAGAGTGAAACTCTGTCTTGGAAAAAAAAAAAAAGGACTGTGGAAAGCTGGGTGCTGTGGTGTGTACTTGTAATCCTAGCTACTTGGGAAGCTGAGGCAGGGGGGATGCTTGAGCACAGGAGTTTGAGGTTGTAGTGAGCTATGAATGTGCTTCTGCATTCCAGCCTGGACAACAGAGTAAAACCCCATCTCTAAAACAACCAACTAACCAAACAGGACTGTGTGGCCGTGGGAAAGGAGAAAAATGGGAGGATGCAGAACATTTTGTGCAAGCAAGATGGGCACATTTCCATGGTCTTGGAGGGGCCTCTGATGTAGAGCAACACTCTCCAATAGGACTTTCTGCAGTGATAGAAATGTATATCTGCATTGTCCAATATAGTAGCCACTAGATCTATGCGGCTCTTGAGCATTTGAAATGTGGCTAGAGCAATCAAAGCACGGAATTTTTCATTAAAAAATTTGTATTTAAACATAAATAGCCACATGTGGCTAGCAGCTGCCGTATTGGACAGTGAAGAATACTCTTTAAAATCTCCGAAATACAAGGAAAGATTTTGTGGACCCAGGAAAATGATGGGGGAGAAATTGGCAGTAAGAGTACTGATATGCCAAATGACAGTTTTGAAGACAAGGATGATAGTAGCAGGAGGTCCCACAGTGAAATCTCAGGTTTGGGCTGTTCACGTAGGTACAAACTTGGTGGAGAAGAAATAAAATTACAGTATCCAAATACTGTTTCTCGTGTCCTTCACATCTCAGGTGACTTGCAGCTGGAGTTATTTTTTCATTAGTTTTATAGTTAAAAATGAACTAAAGTATCAGAATTCCTCTTTGTTTCCTTGGCATCCACGCTGGTCCAGGTGAGGACGTTATCTGTTTTCCCTTCCAACCCTTCATGCAGAAGTACATAGACGAGCTATCACTGGGGAAGCATAATCTGAGCCAGCCAAATCTAGCTGTGTTTTTCATGATCACTTAACAGCAAATTAACCCAAATTTGCTTTGGAGAGGGGAGGGTTTTATTTTCCTGGCATCATGTACTTGTAATAAAAATGCCCCTTTAATAAAAATCAATAACAACTTAAAATACACAATAAATGTTGTAACATTAATAAAACATACTACCCACTAAATCCAGCTTTACTATGTAATGTACACTATTTACAACCTGCATTTCAGGCCTGATCATGCTTCCAACCATGAGTGAAATGGCCTAAAACAGCTGTCAGATGGTGTGAAATGAACATAGACACAAGGTAAATAAAACTCAAATTAACCCTGAATGTTCTCTCTCAGCAGTGAGACCAGCCCTAGATAACTAAGGATGAATGTATGGCTTGTACCCACATGTACTATATGTCCTTCCTCCCTCCATCTGTCCCTCTTTCCTTTCCTGCCTCACTCTTTCTATTCTTCCTTCCTACCATGTGCCTGGAATTTGAGGGATACAAAATAAATTGAAGGTATCCTTTGCTTTCTAGGAGTTTACAGCATCATTATGGAGATTAAATATTAACTCTATAAATGACGCAGTTCTTCATGATTCCCTGATGCTTAAAGGGTATACATCTCTGATCCATTGTGTGAGCTGCTTCCTCTATCTGAATTGCCTTGCGTCTCCTTCTCCACCTAGAAAACCCCTATGTATCCTTCAAGGCCTCAGTTAGATGTCACGTCCTTTATGAAGACTTCCTTGTGCTCCCAGAGACTGTGATTACATCTTTTGAGCTCCCATAGTATTTTTTCATTCTCCAATGATAGTGATGATCACACGCTCTCTATAGTGAGATCCCTTGTCTGCAAGGGAGGCTGGAAAACATAGTTTAGCTGTGTGTCCAGAGGAAGTAAGTTTAGTGTTCACATAGTCAGTTTGGAGAGCTAGACAGAGCCTCAAATTCGTGTCCAAACACTCTCCTTCTTAATCATGATGGCCAAGCACACCAGCTTTCTGGGTTTTCTTTGCGCCATGCAAATTTCCTCTTTACGTTTGCTGTTCTCTCTTCCCAGAATCTTTCCCCCTAGGTATCTGTGATCTCTGACCTCACCAGTTACTGCTAGCCCTTATGCAGCTTTATTGTCTTTGTAGCACTTAGGACTCACTATAGTTGTATTATCATTTACTTCCACCGAGTTGTATGTTCAGTGAGGGCACTGTGCTCTCAGGCAGCCCTGTACATCAGCACCTAGAACCTGTCTAACATAGTAGGTGCTCTATGGGTATTTGTTAAATGGACAAATCCCAATTGAAGGCCAAATTTCAGGTGCCTTCTAGTC
Source organism: Homo sapiens (assembly GCF_000001405.40). Lineage (NCBI taxonomy): Eukaryota > Metazoa > Chordata > Mammalia > Primates > Hominidae > Homo > Homo sapiens. Next base: position 86,028,254 of record NC_000015.10, read on the forward strand.
TGGCCCTTCTTGTAGTAAGTCTATGGCCATGCCTGGTTGCATCCTGAGGTCCAATCTCTGGGGCCAGACAGTTCAGGTTCCTTTAGCGGACAATCTGACAATCCCATTCTTCTTTGAATTGATGAATCCTAAAGAAGATTCTTTCATCTTCTGGTTTTAAAGAACAGTTGAGATGGGGTGGGGATAAAGCAGCTGACATGCTAAGGATCAACCCCACCCTACAAACAAACTAAAGGCACAGCAAGGTCTATAAAAACTACCTTTAATGAGCTCTGCCCCAAAATGGTCAAATCGAAACTGTGGACCCCAGCTATTTTCTAGTTTATGTGACTTTGGGGAATTATTTAATTTTCATGGGCTCAGTTTTCTGTAAAATGGGCACAATAATAGAGATGGGATCACCTATGTGTGTAAAGCAGTAGGACAATGCCTGACGTAGCAGGCATACCTGCTTTACAGGTATCAATAGATATCTCTTCACCACTTTCCCTTTCTCTTCCTCCATTTTATTCTTTTCATCTCTCTTTTTCCTTCTTTTACCTTGTTTTCTGATAGGCTCTTGTATGAATATCTAATAACTTGCTTTTATTTGCCTCTCTGTCTGTCTCTCAGAACTCACAGACCCTTTTCTACTTACAGGACTCTTACTATGATCCTTGTTTGTCTGCCTTGTCCACTGAACTTTCAGTATAGACTAACTTTCCTGAAGAACATAGCAAATTTCTAGTACATGTAGTTAATAGGTTAATAGGTTTCAGGGGACCCGACTTGGCCTATATTTAGAATGCAATAATGAATTGTGCTTTAATTGGTTTTCCCTCATTTAGGGGCCATGGGAACATAATTTCCTCAAATTCTCAGTAGGATCTGTGGTTGGGGTAACGATTGAATTCTGTTTCAGCCAGACTAAACGTGGAAGGTCCTTCTAGGACAAAACACAGATCTCTGTTCTTTCCCACAAGTGGGGGTGCAGATCCAGTTCCCTACATGCCTGCTAAAGTACTGAATTCAGTCCCCAGAGAGACTTTTTCAACGGAGTCATTAACAACTGCCTTTGCTACACTCCTTAGGCAGCCCTGACAATGTGGCTCTTTTGGATATGAAAATACTGGATAGATAGGAAGACCAAAATTTTAAAAATCAAATTAGCTTGGTTTCAATTAATAGTAAAAATGATGACCATATACAGCACCCTAGAGAGATGCATACAACGCTATGACACATTCTGAGTTCCGTCAAATGAGTGAAAGGGACAGGAGCATAAGTATTGGCTCTTGTGTGAGCACCTTGAGGACTGGGCCAATACCTTTTTTTATCTTTGCATTCTGGGGTCTATCATCTAATAGATGCCTGGTAGATATTTATGGAATAAAATGAAAAGTTCCTAGGGCTTTAAGACTACTTGACGTAAGAATACGGCTTGGATAATATACTTTCTCTATGCGTTAGCTTGATAGGTGTTGAAATCTCTCCTTTTGTGTGTATGTACCTAGATTTTATTTGAGGAAAATGAAGAGGCAGGAGGGTTAAGGAGAAGAGAACTCATTATTTTGTTTTGTTTTGTTTTGAATACATACTACAAACCAGCCCACTTTACTAGGCACCTTTGCAAACATTGCTATTGTTATTCTCATTTACAGATGTGAAAAACTAGAACCAGCGAGGTTAAGAAACATGTCCAAGTTCATACGACTGAGGCAGTATTGAGACTATGGTCACTTCCCTCTAAAATTGGTGCTTCTTCACCAAAATCATAATAGGCCAAGGTGGGGGCAGCAGGAAATGAGGGATAAATGGGGTACCACCTACTCAGATTTTGTATGTCAACTGGCCTGAAGATTTTGAAGACCCTTTCAGGGCTGTTGTAAAATGAGCTGTCATCTCTGCATGCTCTACCTTCTCCTGGCAGCCTCGGTGATTCATATTTTAGATTTATCTCATGGATAACCTAAGTTGCAGGTGAACTTGAACTGTGTGAATTCCCACGGAGAGCTGTGATAATACAGGTAAGGAATGGGCCTGGCAATTGTCACATTCGAACTTAAAGATCCAGGTCTTAGGAGGTCAATACATTTTTTTTTTTTTTTTTTTTTTGAGATGGAGTCCTGCTCTGTTGCCCAGGCTGGAGTGCAGTGGCGTGATCTCGGCTCACTGCAAGTTCCACCTCCCGGGTTCATGCCATTTTCCTGCCTCAGCCTCCTGTGTAGCTAGGACTACAGGTGCCCGCTACCACGCCCGGCTAATATTTTGTATTTTTAGTAGAGATGGGGTTTCACTGTGTTAGCCAGGATGGTCTTGATCTCCTGACCTCGTGATCTGCCCACCTCAGCCTCCCAAAGTGCTGGGATTACAGGCATGAGCCACCACGCCCAGCAATACATTTCTTAATATGCAGGATTCTGTTGTGGTGAAGGGATGAGAAGTTTCAATCCTTACCACCCGCCTACCCCCTGCCCAACTTAGGCAATTGCTCAGAGGCAGTGATGATGATAAATGGAAGACAAATTCTAGTTGCTTGTAGCCTTGGGCTTGCTTTGCTTTAACTCCCCAGAAAGTTTGAGAATAGAGTGCCCCTTTTTGTTCTCTTGAGTTTCTTTAAACCTCTCAGGCAGAGGTTCTTGACAATCTGAGCCACAGGAACTCATGTAACCTGCAATGATTGCTCTACTCACGGCCCGCTATGGGCCATTAGGGTAACACCAGGCCCTCACTGTACATTGTCTTCTGGGGTCTGAAAGTTGGTTCTTTTAGAGTGGTGAGTGTCTTTTAGAAGAGGCAGTGTGGCTTTGAGGAAGCACATGGATTTTGGAGTCATTCAGACCTGGGTTTGAATCAAATCTAGATCATGTTTCATAATGACCTGAGATTTCTGGGTGATTCCTCATCTGGGAAACAGGGGACATGAGTCCTTCCCAGCAGAGTGGGGATGTCAGGAATCATATACGGAAAATCACATGATCATTCCTGAAGGCTAGTAGCCCAGGCTTTGGGGTCTGATGGACCTTTTTTCTTTTTTTTTTTTGAGATGAAGTCTCCCTGTCACCCAAATTGGAGTGTGGTGGTACAATCTCAGCTCACTGCAACCTCCGCCTCCCGGGCTCAAGCAATTCTCCTGCCTCAGCCTCCTGAGTAACTGGGATTACAGGTGTGTACCACCACACCTGGCTAACTTTTGTATTTTTAGTAGAGACAGGGTTTCACCATGTTGGCCAGGCTGGTCTCGAACTCCTGAACTCAAGTGATCTGCTCACCTCAGCCTCCCAAAGTGCTGGGATTACAGGTGTGAGCCACCGCACCCAGCCTGATGGAGCTTTATCAAATCCTACGTCTGTTATTAACGAGCTGTGGAAGTTTGAATAAATATCTAAACCTTTCTGACTCTCAAATTTCTTATGGGTAATTTAGAGATAGAAATAACTGTCTTTCAGGGTGAATGTGAGAAAATGAAATAATGTATGGGAGGGGTTAGCATAGAATTTGGTACACAAAGGGTAGTCAGTAAGTGCTAATTCATTAAATTATTCATGTCATCATTATTTCTCTTGCAAGAATTGTTAAGGTTATCCAAGCTATGGTGATGCTGTGGTACCATGGTACCCTGTCAGCCTCCTCAGGAGGGAGGATTGCATTCCCCTGCTGCCAGGGCTATGGGCTACTGGTGGCTCATAGCTGAGTCCTGCTGCCCTCTGCCTGAGGTTACACACCCTCCCTGAGGCAGGCTGTCACCAATGACCTGTCCATAGAGAGATACAAAAGCCCAGCCTCATTGTCTTGTAACTGCAGCAGACCAATCTGATTCAACTTTTACGTAACAAAGTTGTGAGTTGTTTTTTCGTTGCCATAGACCCCCTAGGTTGAAGGTCACGTAACCGAAGCATGCTTCGATGGACCAAGTGTGCAACCAGAAGCAGAACCTAAATGCTCAGCCTGAGGAATAGGGACTGAATTAAGAAGTGGACACTGCATGGCAGGATCCAGGATCCAGTCAGATTGAGCCCTGGCATCACCCCATGGCAGGAACCAGTCAGATAGTGCTTTCTGGTATCACGTCATTGCAAGATCCAATCAGATGAAGACTCATTAATGTATGCCTATAAAACCTGCCCCTGGCTGCGTGTGGTGGCTCATGCTTGTAATCCCAGCACTTCAGCAGGCTGAGGCAGGAGGATCACCTGAGGTCAGGAGTTCGAGACCAGCCTGGGCAACATGGTGAAACTCCATGTCTACTAAAAATACAAAAATTATCTGGACATGGTGGCACGAGCCTGTAATCCCAGCTACTCAGTAGGCTGAGGCAGGAGAATTGCTTGAACCCGGGAGGCAGAGATCGTGCCACTGCATTCTAGCCTGGGTGATAGAGCAAGACTTGGTCACAAACAAACAACCTGCCCCAGCCCCCAGCTCAGGAAACAGATTTGAGTATTTTCTCCTGTCTCTTTGCCAGTTGACTTGTGATAAACCTTTCTCACTGCAAGCAAGTATTTGACTTTCCATCATATGTGGAAAAATGGACCTGGTTTGGTTTGGTAACAATCCCATTGGAACAACTCTGCAGGGTCCTCCCAGCTCCAGAGCTCTCTGTGGCATGGGTTGAGGCATCTGTTGCAACTTCAGTGTCCTCATCTGTTGGAACTCAACTCCTTGCTTTGCATGGCTTCTTCCCTCACACCTCATAGATGCAGCCTGCCTCCTCACTCCTCACAGGTGCTGTTTTTGAGAATACCCTCCTATAAATTTCTTGCATGAAAATTTCAGAACCTTAGTCTGTCCCACAGATTTATCCCATTCAGTATGTGAATCATTTTCACAACTGAATAGCCAAGCCCCAAAACCCTCATGAGACAGATAATGCTCTCTACCTTCTATAATTCCCAAACTCCTTTCCCAACATTCTAATAATTAGAAAGTTCTTAAAAATTGTATCCAACATTTATGTAGCTCTTTATGTATTCTTTCCAAAGCATTTCTGTATATCTTATTTCTCCTGAGTACCATCAAATCTTGCTGAAGCAAATCTTATTAATATTCCCATTTTACAGAAGAGCAACTCCATGAGCATAAAAGCCTATAAGCAACTTTCCCAAGATTACTTAAGGAATTGCCATTAGAGGCTTATAAACCAGACTGGCCCACAGATCATTTTTTTGTGTGTGTGTCTAATGCATCTTTTTAAAAATTGAGGCCGGGCACCATGGCTCATGCCTGTAATCCCAGCACTTTGGGAGGCTAAGGCGAGTGGATCATGAGGTCAGGAGTTTGAGACCAGCCTGGCCAACATAGTGAGACCCCATCTCTACTGAAAATATAAAAAATTAGCCAGGCGTAGTGGTAGGCACCTGTAATCCCAGCTACTCAGGAGGCTGAGGCGGGAGAATCATTTTAACCCGGGAGGCGGAGGTTGCAGTGAGCGGAGATCGCGCCATTGCACTCCAGCCCAGGTGACAATGCAAGTCTCTGCCTCAAAAAGAAAAAAAAACAAAAACCCAAACCAAAAATTGGGATGATGTCTTAGTCCATTTTGTGCTGCTATATTAGAATACCTGAGACTGGGTAATTTATAAAAAACAAATTTATTTCTCATAGTTTTGGAGTCTGGGAAGTCCAAGATCAAGGTGCTGACATCTAGCGAGGCCTTCCTGCTGCATTCTCACATGGTGGAAGGAAGAAGGGGTGAATCCACTCTTGCAAGCCCTTTTTATAATGGCACCAATCGACTCATGAAGGCAGAACCCTCATGACCTAAACACCTCTCAGTCGTCCCCACCTCTTAATACAGTTACAATGGCAACGAAACTCCAACATGAGTTTTGGAGGGACAGACTTTCAAACTATAGCAGATGACTTTAGTTTTCTTCATCATGCCATTGCTACCATCATTCTTTATCCTTTTAATGAATTACTCTATACATTTCTGTCACCTGTCTGACCTTGGGAAGCAATTTGAATTCAGGACATTTCACTTAAAAATGGTGGAAACAGGCTGGGCGCAGTGGCTCACGCCTGTAATCCCAGCACTTTGGGAGGCTGAAGCGAGTGGATCATGAGGTCAGGAGTTCCAGATCAGCCTGGCCAACATGGTAAAACCCTGTCTCTACTAAAAATACAAAAATTAGCCAGGTATGGTGGTGGGCGCCTATAATCCCAGCTACTCAGGAGGCTGAGGCAGGGGAATTGCTTGAACCTGGGAGGCAGAGGTTGCAGTGAGCCAAGATCACGCCACTGCTCTCCACACTCCAGCCTGGGCGATGGAGTCAGACTCCATTTCGAGAAAAAAACAAACAAACAAAAAAAACAAGGTGGAAACAAGATTCAACCTCAGACATTGTAACTTTGGAGCTCACGTGCTTTCTAGTACACCAAGCCATCTGTGTTTCTTCTTCCTATATATGTCCTATTTCTGGGTCATACAACAAAAATACAAAAACCTTGCATGTGGCAACTTTTTAATTATCCCAAGTCCCTACCCTCTGAGAATTTTTTCCCCAAGTGAAGATGCCCAACCCCTGTATCATTTCTCATGGAATATGGCTATAGGTTTGCATTTTACACTGGGCTCGCTTACCTGGAGAAACTCCAGTTTGGTAATAACACTCTTACAAATGGCCTTAGAACTTGTTAGGATAGTCCAGATGTGATCTGATCAGTGCAGAGTAGTTTAACTGAAGCTCAGCCACCTCTAAATCACCACAATCCATGTTTAATGTCTGGTCACATAACTTCACAAACCTCTAAAGTGTTTAAGTATTCCACTCAACCAGGAGACATGAGATGTATGTGACTGTCTCTCTTCTTTATTATCTGTCTTAAAGTTTATGTGTGCAAATGTCTGGTTATGAGTTAACAATACAGGAAGAATCAATACCAGACTCTGAAAAAGAGCACTCCAACATGTCTATAAAAGTGAAATTAGCATCATAAAACAATTATGGATTCAAGTTTTATTTTTTTCTGTTTTCTTTTCCTTGACTTCACAAGGGGTGTGGTTATCTCTGTGCTCCTAAATTAGAATTTCAATGTTTTGTAGGAATGAAAATGTCCTCAACCATCATAAGGGTCATAGCTGACACTCCTATAAAAAAAGACACATTAACAAAATTAAAAGATGACAAATTTATTTAATCAAAGTTTTACGTGACACAGGAGCCTTCAGAAATAAAGGCCTACAGATCAGTTTCTATGCTTAACCTTGATGAAGGATGGACAGTGGTGTAGAAATGTGATTGGACAAAAGGGTGTGGTGAAGTGCTAATAGACTGAGGGCAGACACCCAGCAAGCCCTGTCCATTCAGATTCTTTTTTTTTTTTGAATGTTATCATTGCTTTTTAATTCAAACTAATATTAGACACAGAAAAAATAGTACAAACAGTTCCCATATACCCCTTACCCAGTTTCCCTTTATGTTAACATCTTTTTTTAAAAAAAATTATTACTATACTTTAAGTTTTAGGGTACATGTGCACAATGTGCAGGTTAGTTACATATGTATACATGTGCCATGTTGGTGTGCTGCACCCATTAACTCATCATTTAGCATTAGGTATATCTCCTAATGCTATCCCTCCCCTCTCCCTCCACCCCACAACAGTCCCCAGAGTGTGATGTTCCCCTTCCTGTGTCCATGTGTTCTCATTCAGATTCTTCTTGGCCTCTTTGCATAGCCTTCCTTCCTCCTGGATATGGAGTAAGGACCCCTCTGGAGTGAGAGTCTTCAGGAAAAAAGGGAGAAGGGAGAGAGTGACCTTTCTAGGTTTTATGGCTTAGTTTGAGGGAGAGTTCTAGTTTCTACAACCCATCTTGGGAAAGAGGAATTCTTGTTTCTATGGCTCACTTCAGAGGAGAAAAAAGAGGCGAGAAACAGAAAGGCAGGAGGTGGTCAGAGAGACCTTGCCTCTGAGGCCTCATCCCCTTTAGTTCAAAGTACTCAGCATGCAACGGGCCATACTTTGGGGTATTGTGTTCTGAGCACAGACCCTTTAAAATCCATGTTACTTTTTGAATGTGTGATTTGGGTTCAGCTGCACTGTGTTTTTGTTGACTCTGTTTGCAAGAAGATAATAGGAGCCAACAAATGTTTAGTACTCACTGTGTGCTCTCAACTGTGCAAAGCATGTTAACAGATATTTTCTTGTTTTGTTCTCACAATAACCTTGAGAAGAAGTGCAATTATTGAGTAACTTGCCCAGCATTGCATAGCTTTTAAGAGGAACTGCAAGATATGAGCCCTACTGGCGACATTTCTCAAGAATGGTTGTTTGATCTTCATCTGCCTGTTGGCTGAGCCTATCACCCAATTGTTCTGAACTTGAGCAGGAACAAGGGTATGCTTTTCAGGTTCCTGCAAACTCACACTCTCAGCAGAAGAGCCTGGAGGAGAGACTTGGCTCAGGGATCCAATTCTGTGCCCCTGCCTGTAACCCCACTGCCCCATACCTGTCTGCTTCTTGTCTGAGATACATTCTGAATTCTAAGCAATTATGAAATTCCCCTCCACCAAAGTCCCAGAATGAACATTATTAAATATCCAAAAAACTATAGGACAAGGAGAGAGAGGGGCCAACTGAGGAAAATGCATGCAATTTGATTTTACAGGAATTACTTCATCACTTCACTTAAAAATTTCCTTTAGAGGTAAAAGTTCAGTAAATCCAGGGAATGGCTCAATCTTTTATAAAAGAAAATGGCAGGCTTATTGATTTTTATTAAATATATTACCCAAATGTGGTAACAACCAATTTCGTAAGCTTCCTTAGAGGCTGTGGCCTGGCAGACTGCGTGAAACATGAAGTGATTCTTCGTGCAGTACATTTCCAAATACCTTATAAACACCTGTCATGGCTTCAATGGACTTGTCAATTGTACATGCTTCCAGTGCCATCTCTGTGGGATATGCTTTTTTATTATCTTGTGACCCTAATGGAGAATCATTTTGAGGGTGTCTTTCCCACATATTGACAAATCGGCTTATGGAGGAAAGGCTGGGGATCCTTTAAAGTTGTTGACATGAGTTCTTTTTATGGAAGCAATAACACTTGCTCTTGAAATGACATTGCATATGGTTCCCTATATACAATAATTATACGTTTAGCACCTCTATGTTTGACATAAGCCTACAGTGATGTTACGGTGAAGGTCTCCATAACATCTCATTCTCTTGGTCTTGGTATATTTCCTTTGGCTCCAATTATGTTTTTAGAACATTTGAAGAGCCATCTTCCACCTCGTTGGTTACTTTTACTGTAAGGTGTGAGTAGGTGGATGAGAGTTTGCCTTTTATAAAGCAGAATAGCAGCATATACCTTTGTTTTATTGGCACCTTTGCTCCCTGTGGTAATTGGTAACTCCTTAAATAAAGCAGAATATGTTTTGCTTCCTAAAGAGATTTGGAATGAAAGGTGAAGGGAGAGGCCCATTGAAGCCATCCCAGAATAAAGTTCAGGTGATGGAAAGAAATGGAAGCCTTCTCCCCAAATACTGATTAGGTTTCATTATGACTCTGCAGGAAAAACATGACACCCTGTTTCTCCACCAAGATCCTGATTTGACATCCATTGTTTGTTTCTATGGAGAAAATAATTGGGAACAGATGGCCTCTGATGTCCTCTCCAGCAGTATGGATGGAGATGTAAGTGCTTGATTGCCTATCCTCAATATATTGCAGTGGGTATGTGCTTGAACTCTGGATTTCAATGGTTGGGGTTCAAATTCCATCTTCTAGTTTCTTCTTGTGGCATCTTGAGCAATTTAACTTCTCTGTGCCTCAATTTCTGCATTTCCAAAGTGAGAATAGTAATTATAGGTTTAGTTTTAGAAAGTCCCAAGCAAGCAGTGTGGTGAAACCAAGCAGACCAGAATAGAATCCTATCTTTGCCAGTTATTAATGTTCTGAACTTGAACATATTATTTTATCTACAATATATGTGTATGTATAATAACAATAATAGTGATAGTAACAGTATCTACTTCACAGGGCTTGTGGTGGGGATTGATAAAGGTAATATATACTCTGTACTTAGGATAATGCCTGGCATATATGTGCTCAATAAGTGGTCATTTTATTATAATAAATATCATTGATATTTATCAATGATAAATATCATTTTAGTTTTTTTTTTTTTTAAATAGACGAGAATGTTAGTGGCATCCAGTGTTGATACCAGGAGGTAGACTCTGAAAGCCCAGTGGAGGAGGTGTCTCTAGTTTTAGCAAAATACAGGAGCTACTGCAGGCAATGGGGAAATGAAGGACAGGTGCTGGAATAGGAGAGGGGCAGTTGCTATGAAGATTAACAGTGTCTGTTGAATGCTGCCTCCTGACTGTAAATGGGCTGCCATGCATGTGCCGCCTCTACACCAGTGACCAGTGACTTTTTTTTCCTTTCATGTCTAGTCCTGTGGATAATGCAGGCTTTTGGATCTGACTTTTTTTTTTTTTTTTTTTTTAAGACAGGGTCTCTTTTGTTGCCCAGGCTGGATTGCAATGGCTTGTGATCACAGCTCACTGCAGCCTCAAACTCCTTTCCTCAGCCTCCCTAGTAGCTGGGACAACAGGCACATGCCTCTACCCCCAGCCACACCAGTGACTTCTTATAGCCATCAGCTGAACACTGACCCCCATCACAAGGTTTCCTGTTGGAATATGGGCATGCTGAGGTCTAGGGAATGCTCACAGGTCCTGATGGTGACGAAGACTCTTTTTGACCAAACTTAAATCGGGCTCCTCTGAGTCCCTAGTCCCTCTAAATCATTTTTTTTCTTTTTTCTTTTTTGAGACAGTCTTACTTTGTTGCCCAGCATGGTGCCATGAGTGCGGTGGTGCAATCATGGCTCACTGCAGCCTTGAACTCCTGGGTTCAAATGATCCTCCCATCTCAGCTTCCCATGTAGCTAGGAGTATAGATGTGCACCACCACACCCAGATAATTGTTTATAGAGAGGGGGCCTTGCTATGTTGTCAAGGCTTGTCTTGAACTCTAGCCTCAATTAATCCTTCTGTCTTGGCCTCCCAAAATGTTGAGATTACAGGCATGAGCCTCTGGCCTGAGTCCTCTTTTTGATGACTCTATCCTTGGCCTGCTTACTCCAGTTTTAGCAAGAATCCTGCTGCGTTTGGTGAAAATCTTCACCCCTTGATATCTTGTCAAATTTCCCATCCCCATCCTCCATATCTTATCACCCTGGCCTGCCTTCAGCAAGAATCCTGTTGAGTTGCTCTAGCAAGAATCTCCCTAGCCTTGATGTTTTCTCTTAGTAATTTTCCATCCACTGCCCCTTACCTTGCTTCTTGGCTATAAATCTCCACTTGACTTTGTTGTATTTGGTGTTGAGCCTGATCTCTCTCCTCTACTGCAAAACTCACATTATGGTGGTCTGTTTTGCATAAAGACTTCCTTTCCAGCTTGAGACTGATCAAGATTCTTCACTTCACCAAACTTTAGTCAGGATCCTGAACCTTCTCCAAATTCGCCTGTGCATTTCCTTGTAAAATCCAGTTTTAACAAAGAACACTGTTAAGTTGGTTTGGTAGGAACCCCCCATCCTTGATATCTGATCAAGTTCCTCATCCTCCACCATCCCCTGGGTAATGTCTGATCACCCTGGCCCATCTTCAGAATTCTGTGAGGTCAGTTTAGCCAGAATCCCCCTTACCCATGAGGATGTTCCCTCTTAAGGATTCTTCGTTCACTGACCCCACTCTGCTCCTTGGTGATAAATTCCCATTCTCCAGTGCTGTATTTGGAGTTGAGTCCAATCTCTCTCCCCCACTGCAGGACCCCATTGATAGGTCCCGGTACCTATCATGATGGTCCCGAATAAAGTCTTCCTTACCATGCTTTAACCAGTGTCACTGAATAATTATTTTCTTTAATAAGGCCCAGACTTAACAGAGATTTTGAGATGAACATTCAGGCTGTAAGAAATGACGGCTTTAGCTTCTGTCTCAGGGCTGCAGTTGGCACTGAAGAGCCTCATCAGGACCTGGGGAAACGATGTCTGTGTGGGCATGTGTGTGTGCATGTGCGTGCGTCCATGTGTGCCTTCAGATATACACTGGCTTGTCTCACATTTATAATGTGGCACTGTCTATCTTTCCAGGAGAAATGGATTAATAATCTACATAAGGCATTTAAATAAAAATGTGTCATCACCTCATTAATGTCTTCTCCAAGGATGCATCATTATTCTCTTTTGTTAATAGAAGTGATGTGCGTGTGTGCCCATGCAGAGGCTGGCTAGCCTGTAATGGCAGGTGCGGAAGGCAGGTGGAGCAGGAGAGGGGGCCTGCTTTGCTGTACCCTTACAGGCCCTGCTTCCATGTGCCCAGGAGTGGAAACTCTCCCTTTGGTCTCTGTGTTCCTGTTTCTTTGCAGTGCTAAGTGTTCAGCCCTCGAGGTGTCTGATTCTTCTGGATGGTGAGGATCCAGGGTCCTAGGTTCCTGGAAGGCTGCTGGGCCTCTCAGGCAGCTCCTCTGCACAGAGATCAAGAGAGGATGTGGAGCCCCACAGTGTAACAGTCCCCAGCTCTAGTTTCCTTTCAAATGTAAGTACAAGGAAGCAGAAGGGAACACAGAGGAGCCCCAGAAGAAGGGTTATGAATTATTCATCTCATAGTCTGGGCTCTAGGCTCATAGCACCTCCTCTTCCCCCATCCCGAAAGGCAGCCAATGAGAAAGGCACCTAATTCGCTGGTTGAATTACTGCATATGAATGGCTAGAGGATCTATTTCAAAGCTGCACTTGGAATTGGCCTATTAAAAAAAGCAGCCCGATTTGTTTCAGAAGCTACACTGGAAATGAATGAGGGCTGTTCCATCTTTACTGGCTATTAAAAAAGCTTTGCTCCTTACAGAGCAACTATTTTAATTAAATCAATAATTATGTTTTATTGAATTCAATGCTCTTCAGCAAAAATCAGCACAGAGCCTTTGAAAACTTAATTTAGGTCAATATCGGGTTAGAGGAGGAAGGGGCAGCAGGTGGGGGTGGTGTGGGGGGAGAGGATCAGAGAGGGAACTCGCTCTTTAACCACACTGGTTACAATGGCTCCCTCCCCTTTAGCTTTGGAGAGAGGCACCATTTGGGGTCCAGCTTCAGTTCCCTGGTGCGATCTGAGAGACCAAAATAGATGTCCCTTTGTCCACTAAAATGGGCTCCAAGGTGAAGAAAACAAAAGACCTATGGGTCCAGGGTTTAGGACTGCTGGCATGGCAATTTCCAAAATTCCTACGGCTATACGAAAAACCACACTCTTGCTAAATTCCTTAGCAATAGGAGTTATCAGATCCCTCCTAACTCTGATTTACAACCTAGACCATTGCAACTCTGACTGGACAGAGGACTGGCCTTACAAACATTCTTTCCTGATAAGCAACTGAAGACCTCAAGCCGGTTTCAGCCCGCTGACAGAGGCTACACACAAGCTATCTTTGTGTCCTATAGTTCAGCTTTCGACGGAAAGAGCCAAATTCTACCTCAATTTAATGCTGAAACCCTGCTTCAAAGTGAACAAGGGATGTATGTTGTTCATGCCTTGTGCCTGCACTCCACCCCTCTCTCATAAATTTGTGTGGCTTTTCTCCAAACCTGCTAAATATGTATGCTTCTATTGTATAATATGGACCCCATGAGGCGTCAAACCCAACCTGCCCTTCACCTCTTCAAAAAGAGAGCACCTCTGGTCTGGAGACTCTCTCTTCCTGGTGTGCAAGCTGATATCACCAATAAAGCTCTCCTGGTGTTCTTTTGGATGACACTGGGAAGCATGTAGGTGTTTGTTTTAGGGGGGGTGGGGTGGGGCGGGGAGAGAATACTGGGTTGGTGCAAAAGTAATTGTGGTTTTTGCCATAAAGGTAACAGCAAAAACTACAATTACTTTTGCACCAACCTAATATTTAAACCCAAGCTTTCTAATGTCACGTTTTTTTTTTCTTTTCTTTTCTCTGCCCTGCCCCCAGCCCACTCCAGGATGCTTTAATTGCCTCAAGGCAACTGTGACAGAGCATCCTTCTGTGGGCTCTTGCAGGCTGCTTCTGGATGGCCATTCCACAGGTGAAGAACAGTGGACAGAGTGTTTTGTCCCTATTTTTGTAAAGTACATTCTCATGCTGGATTAGGGATTATTGCAGTAACTTCCTACCCAGTGTCAGGGCTGTGCCCTGGGCTTTCTCTCAAGTTCAGACTATTAAACTGTCTGGAAAGTAGAGCTGGTCCAGACACCTTGTCCTTTTTCTCTCCAGTGGCTGCTCCTTGGTCCAGGGATACAAACTCATTTGCTTTATCTGAGCTGGGCAGGTAACCCAGATGAGTGAGCAGGAGGGCAGGGACTGAGGCAGGAGAGGAAGAAGCACACATTGCCTAAAAGGCGTGGCTGAAGCCCAGCCCCGGCTAATGGCTACGGCATAGAGACAGAGCCTCATGTTGCTGGTATTTTGATTTCTTTTCTTCAAGAAAATCTGGAAATTCTGGCTTTTCCATGAGTGTCAAGTTGTAAATATTGGCTAGTGTGGTGGGCTTTGCCACATGATATACTATGGCCAATGACATGTGAGTAGCGTTATTGATGTGTGCCATTGCTAAGCAGAAGTTCTAGAGCCAATGCATGGTTCTCCCACCCTTCTTTCCCTTTGTTGCAAAAGGTAAAATTTTCCTCTACCAATTTAGGTCTGAAATGATCAGAGGGCTGACAGATTAACAAGAGAAAAGACAAGGTTTATTTTCATACATGCATAAGTGGAGCTCCCAGTAATGGAAAACTTGAGGAAGAATCCCAAGAAAAGGTTGATATGTTTCAACCGAAATGGGTTTTTAGGGCTTTCATGGGAGAGAATGGAATAGTCCATTGGTTTTTTGGATGCGAATGGAATGGGCAGTCTGTTTTCTTGCTGGCTGGAAGTTTCCCGGTAGTGGAGGTTTATGGCAGCTGAATTCATACTTCCTGGGGCTAAGGGCCTGTCTTTTTCAAACAGGAGAATCCCTGGGAGGAGTTTAATGGCAGATGAATTTTTAGAAGGTTCTGCTTAAGTTTAAATAATGGTTCTTTCTGCGACTGCTGTCTATTCAGATTTTTTAGTCTAAAATAATCTTCATATCACTTTGGTTGGCTCTTGATTCCTTCAAATGCACATCCCAGACAGAGCTTGCTCCCTCCATTGGCCTTTGTCTCAGGGCTGAAGTCAGCCCACAACAGATGTAAACACAAGCAAGAAAGAAAGCTCAATGTTGAATGCCACTAAATTTGCAGGCCATTTCTTCCTGTGATAATTTAGCCTAAGCTGACGAATACATCTACTAAATTAAAAACATATTTTGGAAATACAGTGAAAACTAAAAACCATAAATCTATGGGTCATCAATTTTCAACCTGTGTTCTACAGGATAAAGTCCAGCTTTCTTATCAGGACATGTGGAGCCCTTAGACATGCCAGCTCCACTGCCTTGTTGTCTAGCACTTGGCACTAGCCGTTTCACACTCCTTGCAGGTCATTCTGCATCACGGACACTTTGTGTTTGCCTGTACAAAATGCAGCCTCTTTCTAGAATGTCCTCCTCCTCCTCCTGGGCTAAGGCACGGCCTCAAGATGGAGCTTCAGAAGGAGCCAAACCAGCAAGGACATGATTGCAACAGTGGACAAGAGCCCATCTTCCTGGAAAGACCAGCTTTCAACAGTGAAACTGTTCAGAAGCTATAAGAAACTGGTCATTAAAAATCAATACCTGGCTGGGTGCGGTGGCTCACGCCTGTAATCCCAGCACTTTGGGAAGCTGAGGTGGGCAGATCACCTGAGGTTGGGAGTTCGAGACCAGCCTGACCAACAAGGATAAACCCCGTCTCTACTAAAAATACAAAAATTAGCCGGGCGTGGTGGTGCATGCCTGTAATCCTAGTTACTCAGGAGGCTGAGGCAGGAGAATCGCTTGAACCTGGGAGGCAGAGGTTGTGGTGAGCTGAGATCACGTCATTGTACTCCAGCCTGGGCAACAAGAGTGAAACTCCACCTCAAAAAAAAAAAAAAAATTGATACCTTCTAGTGCATTGATCACTGACCGTCTGCATCCATCCACCTGGCATTTGGAATGAGGACTGACTAATCCCTCTGAAGTGAACAAACCCCTAGTTATTTAAATGTTTCATGGGCAGTGAGGTGAGTATCGGATAAAATATTGATTTTCTTATTAATAGTATTTTCCTGACATTACAGTTACTCTACATGTAATCCTTATTATAATTTGTTTTAGAGAGGTTTATATAATTCGTTTGAGAGAGGTTATTATATAATTATATAATTCATTGTAGAGAGGTTTATTATAATTCGTTTTAGAGAGGTTAAATTGAAATCATCATTTCTGTTTAACAGATGAGAAAATGGAGAAACAGAGAGGTTAAGCAACTAGCCTAAAGTCACAGACCTTGTAAATTTTCACTCCAGCCTTCAAATCTATGGAGACTGGAGTCAGAGATTAAAGTGTTAATTGGGAAAATAGAAGTAGCTACATCTGTCCCTGAAGCTGGTAAAAGCGGTCATGACGTGGCTTACATTAGGCATGAAATATGATTCAATAATTCATCAAAATTCAATCTAATTCAACAAACAAACTGTTACTGTACTCCTACCCTTTTTCAGTTATCACACAAACTTAAGGGATTCAAAGAACAAACCAGACCGTTTCTGCAAGGAGCTTTTGGCCAAAAGTGATTCTGTGTTTTGTCTCTGTTCAGACAGTAGTCTAAGACTGGTGGGGAGACTTTTTTTTTTTTTTTGGAAAAATGCACTGAAAGAAACAAAAACCAAAGCAGCTTCATAGGAAGACAAAGAAAAACCCTGTTGCTGACAGACACCTGCATGAAAGACAGGAAGCATCTGACAGAGTCAGACCAGGCACCCCTGCAAGGAAGCAGCTACTCAACGGGGTATGCTTAAAAGTGTGTTTCATTAAGGTGTTTACAAACTGTGACCAACCACTGGTGGGAGCTGTCCTGCAGCTCAGAAGCCTCCCTTGATGCTGAGTGGGTGCTCAGGAAGATCAAATCAAACTGATTTGTTATTTTTATAGAGTGCTGTATGTATGTGTGTATGACAGACAGAGAAAGAGAGATCTTCCTTGGGCACCATTCTCTTGCCTGCAGCCAGAGAGAACCATAGAACTCAGCTTTCTAGAGTAGTGCCTGGTTGAAGAGGGAGAATTCTAAGTTTAGAGCAAGAGTTTGCAAACTTTCTGGAAGGCAGATAGTAAATATTTCAGGTTTTGCAGGCCATTTGGTCTCTGTTGCAGCTACTTGACTTTGCCATCATAGTGTGAAAGCAGCCATAGACAATATGTAAATGAATGAGCATGGCTATGTCCCAATAAAACTTTATTTACAAACACAGTCTGTGGGCCAGATTTTGCCCACAGACCATACATAGTTTGCTGATCTCCACTTTAGAGCTTTCAGCTCAATCCTATCAGGAGTAGGAGAAAGGGAAGAAGGATCCAAAACTTGATGCTGTGGTGATTCACGAAGAGTGTGAATGGGAAGGTGGGTGCTGTGTACAAGGTCAAGGTGTATTTCTTGAATGCCTGGAATTTGCCACATTTAGGAAAGTGAAGGTGTCACTTGCTTTGGTACATGGGCTTTGGATGAAGATAGGACAGATATAGATATACAAATAATTTTTGTATTTGAGAATAATTTTATATGTACAGAAGAGTTGGAAAGAGGGTATAGTGCTGGGGCTCATGAAAATGAGCCCAAAAATAAGGGTCTCAGGACCAGCCTCAGAAGTAGAGTTTCTCTCTGACCTTCTCCTGCCTCCCTGTCTCTCACCTCTTATTGTCCCCCAAGGCTAGCCATAGAAACTAGTATCCTTCTTCCTAAGGTGGGGTCTTAGAAATCAGAACCCCTTTTCTCTAAAGCCAGCGATAAAACATAAAAATATTACTCTAAATTTCCCCTGCTTTTCTGTGTAAGAACTGACCATAAATAAATTCTGTGCATACCTTGTTTGATTGTAGGTCAAAAGACCCCCATTCCAGAAAGGGTGCTACCCTATACTTGGGAAGAAGGAGTACAGCACAGAGAGGCCTGAAGAATTTGAACAGACGGGCCTTGCTGAGTTTCCCCACTCAGTCTATTAGCATTAGATTGTACTCTTTTTGTCCAGTCATAGTTCACGACTATCCATTCTTTATTGAACCTAAGCATACAAACGGGTAGTCTTCCCTGTATCTTTGGGCCTTCAATCTGAAGTCTCCTGTGCCATGTAAAACTATGAACAAATACATAATTCAACATCTCTTTATCATAAAAACTCTCAAAAATTAGGTATAACAGCAGGAACAAACCTCAACATAATAAAGGCTGTTTATAACAAATCCACAGCTAACATTATAATAAGTGGAGAAAAGCCGAAAGCTTTCTCTTTGAGATCTGGAACAAGGCAAGGATGTCCACTTCCCCCACTTTTATTCAATATAGTACTGGAAGTCCTAGCCAGAGCAATCAAGCAAGAGAAATTTGTAAACAAAGGGCACCCAAATTGGAAAGAAGGAAGTAAAATTGTCCCTGTTTATAGATGACATGATCTTATATATAGAAAACCACAAAGACTCCTCCAAGAAACCATTAGAACTAATAAATGAATTTAGTAAACTTGCAGGGCACTAAGTCAACACACAAAAATAAGTAGCATTTTTATACAGGATTAGAAAATTATCTGAAAAATAAAAAATTCCTTTTATAATAGCTACAAAAAATATCTAGGAATAAATTTAACCAAGGAGGTGAAAGACTTGTGCACTGAAAACAAAACATTGATTTAAAAAATTGGAGAGGCACAAAAAATGGAAAGATATGCAGTGTTCATGGGTTGGAAGAATTAATGTTAAAACATTCATATAACCCAAAGCAATCTAGAGATTCAATGCAATCCCTGTCAAAATACCAATGACGTTCTTCACAGAAATAAAAAAAAAACAGGCCTAAAATTCATATGGACCCAAAAAAGACCCTGAATAGCCAAAGCAAACTTGAGCAAAAATAACAAAGGTGGTGGCGTCGTATTACCTGACTTCAAAATATACTACAGAGCTATAGTGACCAAACGGTGTGGTACTAGCATTAAAAACAAACAGAAAAAACAACAAAGAAACCATAGTCCAGTGGAACAGAATAGAAAGCCCAGAAATAAACTGATGCATCTACAGCCAATTCATTTTTCAACAAAGGTATCAAGTACACACTATTAGGAAAGGACAGCTTCTTCAATACATATCGCTGAAAAAACTGGATATCCACATGCAGAAGAATAAAACTAGACTCTTACCTCTCACCATACCCAAAAATTAACTCAAAATGGATTAAAGACTTAAATTTAACACCCAAAACTACCAAACTACTAGAAGAAAACATATGGGAAAATCTCCGTGATATTGGTCTAGACAAGGATTTTTTTTGTATAAAACATTAGAAGCACAGGCAATAAAAGCAAATATAGAGAAATGGGATTACATCAAATTAAAAAACTTATGCATGGCAAAAGAAACAACCAACAGAGCACAGGGACAACCTGCAGAATGGGAGAAAATATCTGCAAACTATGTATCTGATAAGGGGATCATATCTAAAATATATAAGAAACTCAACCACAAAAAATATAACTAGTTTAAAAATGGGCAACAGACCTGAATAGACATTTTTCAAAAGGAGACACAGAAATGGCCAATAGAGGCCAGGTGCAGTGGGTCATGCCTGTAATCCCAGCACTTTGGGAGGCTGAGGCAGGTGGATCATCTGAGGTCAGGGGATTGAGACCAGCCTGGCCAACATGGCGAAACCCCATCTCTACTAAAAATACAAAAAATTAGCTGGGCATCGTTGTGCATGCCTGTAATCCCAGCTACTTGGGATGCTGAGGCACGAGAATCACTTGAACCCAGGAGGCGGAGGTTGCAGTGAGCTGAGATTGCGCCACTGCACTCCAGCCTGGGTGAAGGTGAGACTCCATCTCAAAAAAAAAAAAAAAAAAAATGCTCAGTATTACTAATTGTCAGGGAAATGCAAATTGAAACTACAATGCATATTGCATATACATGTTGGTACAGAGCTCCTAAAACCTGAGACCTTGAGTTTTCATAGGTGCCACTGTGGGACAGAAATTTTCTATTTCAAATTCTATTTCAAAACACTCTATGAAGGGTGGAAAGGTCCTCTCCTGTTCCTTTCCCAGCCTCTGTACTTCTTATTAGGCAAATTTATCTTACTAGGCAAGACATTAAGTAAATATGTTCACTTGACTTACTCTAGCTTTAATGTTTACAAAATATTATAATAGGATTCCAGGTATCTTGTGGCCAAAGCCATTTCTCATTCCAAGACTCAAAGCCTTAAGAGTTATAAGCCTCATCTTCAATTGTGACCCTCTGAAGCACGGAAGGATGTTTAAGTACATTACCCACAGAAGCTCAGATGGAAGTTCCCAACCATGCTTCCTCTTTGCAATGCTGGAATTCCTGGAGCAAAATCTCTCATTCTTCCATGCTGAAGAACTCTCCATTTATGTCTTCCTGTCCACATCATCTCCTAGTTATTGAAAGCTCTCCCCTCCCTCTGGAGTACCACTGCATGTGACACAGTCCTAATGTGTCATGTCCTCCCACCATGTCCAGCCCTCCAATGTTCTGATGGCTCTACTCTTTGAGAACTTATCCTAAAGGCTTTGTTTTTGATTTCTCAGCAGAAGGGGGAGGAAGTTAAGCAGGGAATGCCAAATGCTCTGTGGATAGCAGGTTACATGGGGTAGTATGCATCTCCTCCCAGAGGCTCAAGTGACCTCCCTGCCATACCTACTCTTCCTCCTTCTGGCCCCTCCTACTCAAGTAACCCAGGCTTCTGCCAGCCATGACCTAGAATGTAGACCCTGGCCTGGGCTTCCCTCCCAAAATGTCACCAACACAGGCCCAGAGTTGCTTTTCTCAAACTATGCTCTGTGGAAAAAGTAGCCCAGACAAATGTGCCGGGAAAAATGCATTGCACCATCGAATACGTTTAGTGTAGTTTGGGTGAAATGAAATCAAGCCGGCCTTCTTATTGTAGGACCCCCAGGACAGTGAAAAAGCTAACGTGATTGGGAAACTCCCGAAGTTGGTACAGAAAACTGTTCCCCAAGCATTCCTGACCTTAGAACACTTTGTCATGCAGCACGCGGAAGAATGGATTCCATTTTGGGAAATGCTCATCTAGCAAATATTAAGCAGCAAAGAAACGTTTATTTAAACAAATCCACTCCTATTTTCATACATTTAAAAAAGACTTTCTCCCTATAATAAACAGCCTTTGCATGCTTAGCGTTTACAAAGTTCTTCCACATTCATTGGCTCATTAAAATGATTAATTTGTGCTAAATTTAATCTTTTGAATGGGTAGTACATTCTCCTGGTTCAGAAACAGAAACTGTGCGTAGGTATTCAGTATAAAGTCTCTGTCATGACATCCTTGTCTTCCATATACTTAAGATTCCATTTTCCTCCCTTACTCCCAAGCAGCTGCTATTGTTACACTATTCAGTTTCCATACAGACTTCATGTATATAAATGGAGAAAAATACAACATCATTTCTCAGCCTCCAAGTTTTTAATAGAAAAGGACAATTTTACAGTACCTTAAAATATGAGGTTTATTGAGGTATAATTTACACAGAATAGAATCCACCGTTTCATAGCATACAACTCAATGAAATTTTTTTTTAAGACAAAGTCTCACTGTGTCACCCAGGCTGGAGTGCAGTGGGACCATCTCAGCTCACTGCAACCTCTGCCTCCTGGGTTCAAGCGATTCTCCTGCCTCAGCCTCCCAAGTAGCTGGGATTATAGGCTCCTGCCACCACACCTGGCTAATGTTTTGTATTTTTAGTAGAGATGGGGTTTCACCGTGTTGGTCAGGCTGGTCTTGTACTCCTGACCTCAGGTGATCCACCCGCCTCAGCCTCCCAAAGTGCTGGGATTACAGGCGTGAGCTGCCATGCCCGGCCTCAATGAACTTTAACAATGTTAGGTAACCACCGCCACAATTGTGGTGTACAGCAGCCCCATCGTTCCAAAATGTTTTCTCATCCCCCTCTTTAAGTTAAATCTCTCCCTCCACCCCAGCAACCTGACAAGCATTGGCCTAGTTTTGCCTTTTAAAAAATAATGTCGAATAAATGGAATTATATAATATGTAGGCTGCTTTGCTAGGTTTCTTTCACTTGCCATAATGCTTTTGAGATACGTGTATAAGAAGCTTGTTCATTTTTATTGTTTAGTAATATTCTGCTTGTTTGGAGGAAAAACTTTTCCACTACCTATTTGGGTTTGAGTGGTTGGGGATCTGTGAATTAATTGACAAAGATATTAACAGGAGAAAAGGGTTCTTACAAATGCGTTTGGGAGCACTTTATAAAGAGTGGTTCTGCAGATACCTAAGGATAAGGGCTTAAATATCAGCTTATTAAGGTGGTGAGGTGAGGCTTTAGCAGTAAGGTATAAAATGTTTTCATTAGGTTTGTTTACACAGTTTCTTAGATGTCTCAGTGCTAGCTCCCAGTGCTAGAAGTCAGCTTCCTAATTTATAGGAAAATCCCACAGAGGGGCGTTTGTGGCAGCTAAATTCTTGGAAAATCTGCTTTAATAATTAATGGGAAGTTCAGGTAAGACTTCTCTCTGCAGCTATGGATTGTCTAAATGTTTTCAGTTTAAAATAGACTTTCTGCCATTCCCTTCACAGTGTATAAATGAAGGCACCGCCATTTACTCCCCCATTCACCAACTGATGGACACTTGTGTGTTCCCAGTGATGGTGATGATGAGTCAAGCTGCTATGGCCATTTGAGTACAGGCCTTTGTGTGGATGTTTTCTATAAACACTGCTATGGGATAAATTATCTGTGTTGAAGTACTCGCTCCAATGTCTTAGTCTGCTCAAGCTGTTATAACAAATAGCATAAACTGGGTGGCTTATAAACAATAGAAATGTATTTCTGTCTGTTTTGGAGGCTGGGACTTATCGGTAGACTCCATGTCTGGTGCAGGCCCACTTTCTGGTTCAAAGACAGCACCTCTTGCTGTGTCCTCACAAGGTAGAAAGGGCAGGGAAGCTCTCTGGAGTCTCTTTCATAAGGGAACAGAGTCCTCATGAGGTCATCACCTCCAAAAGGCCTCACTACCTAATACTATCCTGGGAGTTAGGATTTCAACATAGAAATTTTGGGGGGACGCACACATTCAGAACATAGCACCCTAGTACCTCAAAATGCAACTATATGTGGAGATAGGGTCTTTAAAGATACAATTTAAAGGTAAAATGAAATGATATGCGTAGGAATGGTGGTAGGACAGAGTGGTACTGGTAGGAAAGGGTACTTGGGAGAAACTGGCGACGTGAGACACACTCCTATCACAATTCATTGGTCACCTACTATGCCCAGAGCATTGTACTAAGCATCAAAGAACGAAACAAGATAACAACTCCTTCCAAGCCAACTTGTGTAGCCTTCTCTTATTTACAAATGCTTCCTTACTCATCATTCTCATCTGATCTTGAAAAAATATCTTATGAGGCAACCGGAGCCAGGAAGGCTCATCTTTAACGATGCAGCTATTGGGAAATCAATGGAATGAGTTGATAATAAAATAAGACAGAACTTGGCCCTTTAATTTTAACTGAAATGCACATTGTTTTACCAACACTTTGATGTAGCCTTTTATGAGTGTGAACCCACTGATTGGAATTGTACATTGTTTTCCTTACACAAACCTCATGCATAATGCATCCTCTGTAATTTCTAGATATAATTTAAATGTAAAATGAGATGATATGGGTAGGACTGATCCAATAGGACTGGTGTCATTGTAAGAGGAGATTAGGACACTAACACAAAAGGAAGAGCATGTGGGGACACAGAAGACACCCATCTGGAAGACAAGGAAAGGAGGCCTCCGAATAAGAAACCAAACCTGCTAATACCTTGATTTTGGACTTCTTACCTTTAGAACTGAGGAAAGAAATTTGATTGTTTAAGCCACCCACTGTGTGGTACTTTGTTCTGGCAGCCTTAGCAAACTAATGTATATAGTAGGTTATATCTTGCTTCTTCACACTTAAACAATATGTCTTGGTGTTGTTTTCATATTAGTAAATGAAGAGCTTCCTCATATATTTTGGAGCTACATAGTATACCTTTGTGTGAATCTGGTCCTTACAACAACTCTGTAGGGAAAGTAATCCTAATTATCCCCTAAGTTAAGCCCGCCAGAGACAATCAGAAACTCACAAAGTTGAGTGATTTTTCCCTAAGTAGTAAGTAGAAGAAACAAGAGCTGGCCCTAGGTCTGTCCAACTCCAAGTCTTATGCTTTGTGTAAAATCAAGTCTAATGGCCTTATTCAGGCTTTTTAGCTCTGCCATCATTTGTTGCCACCATTTTTAACCAACTCTTCCTTCTACCAGTCCCTCAATAATAAGTCCTCTACTCCATTCACTTCAACTCCCATCACTTCACTTCACCTCTGTCGTAGAAATAACTTATTTTAAATCTATTTTTTGTTTGTTTATTTTGAGACAAGGTCTGGCTCTGTGACCCAGGCTGGAGTGCAGTGGTTAGATCTTGGCTCACTGCGGCCTTGATCTTCCCTCAAGCGATTCTACTACTCCAGCCTCCTGAGTAGCTGGGTCTATAGGTGTGTGCCACCACATCCAGCTAATTCTTTCTTTATTGTTTTTATTGTTTGTAGAGATGGGTTATCCATCATGGTGCCCAAGCTGGTCTTGAACTCCTGGGCTCAAGTTACCTACCTTCCCCAGTCTCTCAAAGTGTTGGGTTTACAGGTGTGAGCCACTGTGCCCGGCCTGAAATAATTTTATGTGAATTCCCATGGCCTGCAAATCTGGCTACCCTAGGGCTTTCCAACTTAGAAGGAACAAGTTTCAGAGCTTCAGATGAGGGCAGATAACCCCTAAAACGATGTAGTGCTTGTTTAGCTTCAACTGTCAAATTAGATCTCTGTTGTTGTTGTTGTTTTTAGAATCAAGAAAATAGGTACCATCCCCGTGTCATACTCCTGGCAGCTTTAACAAGCAAAGGGCAATCCTGGTTGCGATGAGTTTTATGTAAGAGAGTTCCTGGCCATTTGGAGGAACACAGCTGATACATATTCCTAGCCAAGTAGATTGTAGAAAGAGAAGGCTGTAGGAGTATGGGCTTTGACTCTGTGCTTAGATCACCCCAGTGGGCTTTGTCTTCGTACAGGAAGGGGAGTTCTGAGGGCAAGAAATTTGCTGAGTTTGGGAGTCTGGAAGGACACTACCTCCCAAGTTCCCCTTGCCCCACCCTGTAAAGTAAACCTGCTAACCTAGCCAGTGCTTTCTTGAACTGCTCTAGGTTCCCATGCACCATAGATGAATCCCAGAAATTTCCATATGCGCCGTAAAGAGTGGGAATTACAGAAAATAACTGTGTTGGCACCCCCTGGGTCTCTTTGGATCCTACCAAGGCAATGAGTGAGCAGAGGCCCTGGGAGGGGGCAGAGGCCAGGGGCAAGTGGAGGATGTGGCAGAGACTCAGAGGGATGCAGGGAAGGACCCAGAGCTGAGGGGAAGACCACTCAGCCAGGGAGCACCATGGATGCTAGAAGAGAGTCCTTGCTCAAACTGTGTTACCAAGTGCATGGGGGCTAAGGAAAAAAATCAGATCAGTTATGCATGAAAGACACTGCATTTCCTTTGCCCATCTGATTTTTGTGCATACCAAGCAAGCCAACATGCAGATGCCATCAATGCATGCAAAACTGTCACCATCCAAGAGAACAAAGCCCCTTGCCTGGGTTGAGGAGTGAATTTAGCTTTTTGCCTCACTGATGTAAGGTGTGGATTTTCCATTGATACCTACCTACGTGTTGCTCATGGGTTGTCCAACTGGACAAAAGATTGTGCTTAAAACTTTGCCAAGTCCCGTGTGGACTGCCCCGAGGGAGTTACAGCCTGTGGAGGCTGAGATGGCTAGCAGCTGTTGCTGGCAGGCAGCCGCTTGGTCCGGGACTACACTTTCCAGAACACTTGCATCCAGGTCCAGCCACATCAGAACCAACCGTGAGGAGCAGAAGCAATGAGTGGCTGCCTCCCTATAGAAAACCCTCTTCTCTCATTTCTCATCTGCACACTGACTGCAGAGCACCGACGCCCTAGGGGTTGGGACAACTTGGGTTCCTGAGGCACCACATCAAGGAAAAGTGTTGCATTGGATTATTACAGGGAGTGAGAAATAAGCTGCTTCTGCGTTAAGCCCCGTTTGTTTGTAGCAGCTGCTAGCATTCCCTTAATGAATAACTCCTCCAACAGAGGACTGGGGGATTCTCGACATCTGGAAGGGTGGTACTGGCAGGAAAGGGTACTTGGGAGAAGCTGGTGATGCTGAGACACACTTCTATCACAATTCATGGGTCACCTACTATGCCCAGGGCATTGTGCTGAGCATCAAAGAACAAAACAAGATAACTCCTTCCAAGCCAACTTGTGTAGTCTTCTCTTATTTGCAAAATACTTCCTTACTCATCGTTCTCATCTGACCTTGAAAAAAAATCTTATGAGGCAACCAGAGCCAGGAAGACTTGTCTTTAAAGATGCAGCTATTGGGAAATCAATGGAATGAGTTGATAATTAAATAACACAGAACTTGGCCCTTTAATTTTAACTTAAATACACATTGTTTTACCAACACTTTGATGTAGCCTTTTATGAGTGTGAACCCACTGATTGGAATTGTATGTTGTTTTCCTTACACAAACCTCATACATAATGCATCATCTGTAATTTCTAGATTTAGCTTCTTCAAAGTGAAATCAAAACCTAAAGCACTTCCAAGAATCCTTCTGGATATTGTAAATTCCCCCAATCACTTAGGGTTGTTTCATCCATACCTAATTGGACAATAATTTTTAAGATTTATTGCCTTTGTTGTGATTTTCCCCAGTATTCAACTTAGTTTCCATAGAAAGAAAATCTTTTTGCATTTATGTTTCATTGGTTTAGATAATACTTAATAAGAGGACATAGTTATGTTAATGGGCAAGCCAGGTTTGTAAACAAATGTAGCTAACAGTTGATGAAAACAGCAGGGTAGGCATATCAGCTATGGGTTCAGAGAGACTGTCTGGGTATTTAGCAGAGGAAATAGAGAATATCCCTTAGTTCAATAAGTGATTATCCTTAGTGGTGGCTAGCCCACAAAACCTTTTTTCTTCGGGCAGTGCAGCACTCTGTCATGTACAAGGCTTGGTGAATGGTTCCCAGGTAGGATTTCAGCTCCCACTCCATCTCTCAGTCAAAAATCCTTGTGTAGAACCTAACTTGGATGAATATCCTTACATGGTGATGCAGTGTGTTATATGTATAAAAGTTAAATATTAAACCGAGATGGAAATAAAAAGACTACTCTAAATGACTAGGTTGTCAAGTGGGGGAACTAGAATTTGGACCTAAGCAGTTGTTACCTGATCCAGAGTGAACTGGACCACCTGGTCCCGGTGTCTGGATAAGCCACATCCTCTTGTCTGGGTTATGAGACAAGAGCCTCTCCAGTCTTGGTCAAGTACTTATTAATAGTATCTTTGGGTGAGCCATATGCAAGGCTGCTGCTAGTCTTCTGTCCACAGGATTTGCTCGCCCCAGGTTATTGCTACAATTATGTAATTGTGGCTCTTACATTGTAGAATGGAATGAAGCATTACAATTATGTAATCTCCTCATCTCTCCCTCTGCACTTTCTTTTTTGAAGCCCCTCGTTTGTTTCACGATTCTCTTTGTTCATCTCTCTTACTGAATTTGATGCCAAGGCCTTTATGTATTGCTCCTATGCCGGCAATCCTTCCCATTTCCTCCCTGCCTTCCTGTCTACCCAGAGAGTTTGCACAAAGTATGATTTTGTTCCTATCCAGGCACAGCTAAGTGGACAAAAAATGAACGTTGTGGTCAATAATAGTTTGCTCTTTTCAGAGGGACAAAGCCGGGCAGTTGGAGGAGGAATGCAGAGAAAAAGACACAGTGATTGTCTTGGTTCCTGATGGTTTTCAAGTTCTCAGTTCCCATCATCCTTGTATCCATTCATTCATTCGTGGGACACACATACACTGAGTGCTTACTTGGGGTAGAGCAAAGGGAAGTTATTACGAGGGCTTCAGCTTTCACTCTGAGTAGGAGGGGGAAGCCACTAAAACAGCATGGCATGATGTTGGCTTAAAAGGCACTTGAGCTGTTATGTAGAGAATAACCTCGAGGGCCAGGAGCAGAAGCAGAGAGGCTAGCTAGGGGGCCACTATTATCCTCCAGGCAAGAGGTGATGGTTGTTTGGGCCACGGTAGTTGTAGTGGCGGGGTGAGGGGTCGGGCAAGAAAGAGATGGGTTTGTGTCTTTTGAGACAGAGAAGACAGATTTCCTGGTGAATTTGAAAATGTGGATGTGAGTTGAATGTGGGTGTGAGAGAAAGGGCAGAGTCTAGGTGAGCAATTGTAAGAATGGAATTTCATTTCTTGAGCTGGAGAAAATTGGAAAGATCCGGGTTTTGGGGGAAAATCAGGAGTCTTGCTTTGTCCGTGGTAGGTTGAAGTTGCCCATTTGACATAAGTGGGGATGTTGACAAAAAGGCAGTTGGACCAGTTGGATACATTAAGTCTGGAGTATTCTTGGGTCTTCTCTTTCTCTCACATTCCCCATCTAATTCACAGGAAACCTGCTTAAAACCTTCTGATGGTGTTCCTTCTCCCTCAGACTAAGGCCAGTGTCCTTCCCTTGACCTTGGAGGCCCTCTATGGTCTGGCTTTCCTTTGTCTCTGACCTTGGATCCTATGAATCTCCCCTGGCTCACTGTTCTGGGCCACACAGGTCCCCAACTGTTCCCAAGCAGGCCTGGTCTGTTCCTTTACATTGCTTTCTGCATCCTCTGCCTGGGATGCTCTTTCCCCAGATGTCAGTAAGGCTTACCCTCTCATCTCCTTTAAGACTTAGTTGAAATAGAACCTTCCAGGCAAGGCCTTCCATCATCATCCTGTTTAAAATCATCACCCTGCAAGTTCTCACTCATCCCCATTTTGCTCCCCTGCTATTTGGTCTCCTCATCTCCTCACATAATTCATATTTGACTCATTTTGTTCATTTTCTGTCTCCTTCCACTGGAATGCAAGCTCCAAGAGGGCAGAGATTTTATCTGCATAGTTTGCTGCTGAATACCTAGTGCCTGACACACAGTAGGCCCTCAATAAACATTTGTTGAATGCGTGAGTAAACTGGACTCTCTTCTTGCCTTTGGTGCTTGGAAGATACTTCAGTATCTTCATAACAGATTCCCTTTCACTCAGCTTAAGGTGAGTAAGTCTTGTTTCTTGCAACAGGATGATGTCTATCTTATACAAGGTCCTCTCTCTGCACGTGGTATCCATAATATCTTGTAGCTCTGTTACAGCACATGGTGTATTCTGTTTCTATGCTATTTTGCCACATGTGTGACTCCCTCACAAGGTTTTAAGTGCACTGAGGTTCAGGACTGTACTTTTGTTTTGTTTTGTTTTTTTGAGATGGAGTCTCACACTGTTGCCCAGGCTGGAGTGCAGTGGCACAATCTCGGCTTACTGCAAGCTCCGCCTCCCAGGTTCACGCCATTCTCCTGCCTCAGCCTCCCGAGTAGCTGGGACTACAGGTGCCCACCACCATGCCTGGCTAATTTTTTGTATTTTTTAGTAGAGACGGGGTTTCACCGTGTTAGCCAGGATGGTCTTGGTCGTGGTCTCCTGACCTCGTGATCCACCCGCCTTGGCCTCCCAAAATGTTGGGATTACGGGCTTGAGCCACCGTGCCCGGCTGGGACTGTACTTTATATAAGCCCACTGCAGTGCCTAAGTCATACCCCCAGCAACAGTCATTTATAGAATGAAATGATTTTTAGCTAAATTAATTTCCCATTCATTCTAAAGGTGAGACATAAGAGAAAAACATCTACCAAAGGCTTGCAGGTAAATCACTCAGTTGTATCTTAGAAAAAGTTTGCTTTGTAGGCAGGAAACCCAATTTGTTCTGAAAGGTAAGTACCTCAGAGGATGGGTGCTTGATTATTTCAGGGGATATTTTGCTAAAATGGAGCAAAAAAAATAGCAGTAACACTTACACATTAGAAATTGTTTGAAGGACTTTATGTTAAGTACTAATTCCTTACATCTCAAAACAACCGCATGGGTGTGGGCATTATTGTCATGCCCATTCTACAGATGAGGAAACCAAGTCTCAGAGGCATGAAGCAACCTGCTCAAGGATACACAGGTAGTCAGTCTGGTAAGAAGGGGGGCCAGGATTGAACTCAGGTAGTCTGGCTCCAGAGCCCATCCTCTAAAGGAATACAGAGGGGAAAGTACATCATTCAAAAAGCCTTCCTTGAAAGCTGGAACCAATGCAACTGGTGAGACAGACAAGTGCCTGGCTAGGATAAAGGAAGGGAAGAGCTGTGACCCTTGCATTGTTCTCCTTTACACGGAAGCAGACTCTAATCCCTCCAAGTAGAGCTTGTCACCTGAACTAAGGATGACTTGGAAGGTAGGCTGAGCTTTCAGAGTTGATTCTTGGACCAGCCTTCAACCTCCATAGACTTGGGGTTACCATCTCTCCTGCAGCACCTGACCCTCCCTTATTGCTGCCCAGCTCCCCTCTGCAGCCTTCTGGCATTGTTTCCTGGATGGCAACTGACTTGCTCCTTCTTGGTCCCATGTGTCCACACCTAGGCACAGCCTAGGTACATATTGCCCTTGAGGGGCTCAGCCTGACTTCTTTCCTGGTCACATTCCAGAATGGCTGACTTGACTCCTCCTCTTCCACATGCTTGTTTTTCTCCTGTCCTACATAGTGGCGGTGATGTTACTATTGAGGTATGAGCTGCTTGAACTGAACAGATTAATTCATCTCCAGGCATCTACTGAGTTCCAAATGGTTCTTCTGCAGAGAATAAACCAGAAACACTACCTTAGTGCTTGCCTTTAAGCAGCTGCACATTTATTAGAGAGATGAGACTGTGTATGCGAAACAGTTATTGGATAAATGAATTTCTTTTTTTTTTTTTTTTTTGAGATGGAGTCTTGCTCTGTCGCCCAGGCTGGAGTGCGCTGGTGAGATCTCAGCTCACTGCAACCTCCACCTCCCAGGTTCAAGTGATTCTCCTGCCTCAGCCTCCTGAGTAGCTGGGATTACAGGCCCATGCCACCACGCCTGGCTAACTTTTGTGTATTTTTAGTAGGGATGGGGCTTCACCATGTTGGCCAGGCTGGTCTTGAACTCCTGACCTCAGGTGAGCCTCCTGCCTCAGCCTTCCAAAGTGCTGGGATTACACACAGGAGCCACTGCACCCAGCTGGGTAAGTGAATTTCTAAGTTGCACAGGAAGGCTGTGAAGTGCTGGAGGTCAGATAGTGGACCAACCAGAATGGCCTGGAATAAATCACAAAATGTCACAGCTGAAGGAGACCTTGACTATCATCCTGGTTTCCAAAGTGGAAAACAGAAGTGCAGAGAACTCAAGCCACTTGCTGAGGATAAAACAGCAAAGCAGGTGTGGGATGTCAAGTTCTGAGCCTGAGCCAAATGCTCTTTTTATTCAACTGTGATGCCTTCTCCCAGGAGCAGGGCGGGGATCTTGAGAAGGTCTTCTGGTTAGAAGGAGTTGCAAGGGGACATTGCCAGAGAGAGGACACCATAAGAGGAAAGAGTCAAAGATGAGAAGACAGAAGGAAACTCCACCCAGGAGACAGATCTGAGCCAAGCAACCTATTCTTGATCAAACCCAGTGGCTTGAAAGCTGTGATGGTGGCTTCTGCGTGGCTGTTAAACTACTGCTGTTAACTAGCAAGTACCTTATCTTCTCACAGTGTCCGTGTGCTCATCTTGAAAACGTTGACAGCAAAGCAGGCCACCTCATGGGATGATGGAGAAGTGCTCATGGGCAGTAAAACTACTGAGGTGTGAAGACCTGCACATCAGAGCCATTGGAATGAATAATTTCACAAGGAAATAAATGGAAGTCCTGATACCAGTATCTTTTTTTTTTTTTTTTTTTTTTTGAGACGAAGTCTTCATTCTGTCCCCCAGGCTGGAGTGCAGCAGCACCATCTTGGCTCACTGCAACCTCTGCCTCCCGGGTTCAAGCGATTCTCCTGCCTCAGCCTCCTGAGAAGCTAGGATTACAGGCGCATGCCACCATGCCTGGCTAATTTTTGTATTTTTAGTAGAGACAAGATTTCACCATGTTGATCAGGCTGGTCTCGAACTCCTGTCCTTGCGATCCACTGGCTTTGGCCTCCCAAAGTGCTGGGATTACAGGTGTGAACCACCGCGCCTGGCCTGATACTGGTATCGTTTAATCCTCCCGTCTGGAGGGCAGATTTTGACAGGATTAACAGAAAATTTTCTAAGAGTTCCTGTTCCCCTCGAGGTACAGATCTCTTCCAGGGGATGTGAGCAGCATCTGGGAGTGTTTGGGGCTGATTGTCTCCTTTGTATGTTTCCTCAGTGTAATTATGGTCCCACAGCTGCTTTGGGAAGACAAAACGTGCTAGCCTTGTTCCCCAAATATTGTTCTGCATTTCTTAATAGAATTTGGTAGTGTGATATCACACATACTTGTAGCCCTTCCAAGGAGCCAGGGATGATGCCAAAAAACACTGGAATGGGAGTTAGGAGTTCTTGGCTCTACCATGGACCAGCTGGATGACCTGAGGCAAATGACTTAACCTCTCTGGGCCTCAAAGAGCTCAGACTAGATTATCGCTAAGGTTCATTTTTATTCTAATATTTTATGAGCCTAAGAAGACAATGCTGTAAGAGAAAAAAGGTGCACTTTCCATGGTCAGATGAGCTGGGATTTAGAATTTCAGCTCTCAGCCTCATTTGTTGTGAGTCCTTGGAAAAGTTACTTAACCGACCTTGGTTTTTTAATATATAAAATATATTGAAGGAAATGAAAGTGCTTATAATAAAATAAAGTGCTTAGAATAATGCCAGATACATATATGCACTTAAGAAATGTGAGTTTCTCTCTTTACTTTTTCCTTTGCCTATCTCTAGCAACCTAAGGAAGCCAAGCAACCTTCATGTCAAATGTCTTCTTCCCTCCCTCCCTCCTTTCTTCCCTTCTTTTCTGCCTTTCCTCAAGATACATTTTCTAAGCATCTCCAGTATCCCAGGCCCGGGATTAGGCACTGAGGACACACAGATGACCATGATCTGGTCTGGGATGCTAAACTAGGTACAGTCCGGTGTGGGAGATTATGGTAAACTACATAATGAAGAGAAGGCACGCTTTTGATGCCGAGCAGGGAAACAGATTCATGCTTGGAGGAGGCCTCTGGGAATGCTTTGTGAAGGAGTTGGCGTTTTAGCTGATTCCTGATGGAAACTTGCAGAAGCACAGAAGATGGAGTGTGTGTGCGCGTGCGCGTGCACGTGCTTCTGTGCGCAAGCATTTGTGATGTAGCATTGGGCAAGAGACTGGGAAAATGAGCCCATAGTTGCTTCACTGAGGCCAGAGGCTTTGCAGGAAGAGCCTAGCAAGGGAAGCTGGGATTACGACATTATCTTCTTAAGGCCTAATTAAACTGTGCGTGTTTCCCAGGGCTTGCAATGGGGCTGCAGCTGCATAGCTTACCTTTTTAGCCGGGTGGGGCTACACAAGTTTCTGGAATCCTGAAGCAGAACATGATGTCAGTGGAGCCATATCTGCTTTGAAAAGTGCCTGTCATTCCCAGAAGGACAATGTAGGGGCCTGCAGGACTAGCCTCTTGACTTCCCAGTTTTGCCTCTGCCTGACCCTGGCTACCTGGCAAAGACTCGAGCTCTTGGATAGGTAAACTGATAGATGCTTGTCTTGACCAGAGGCCGATAGGCATCAAAACACACTTGCAACACTACCCAAATGACAGAACCTGAGGTGCAGGCAGAGCCAGCCCTGTCCCTTTTGTATGGCATTAGGATGCAGCAATCTAAGGAACCAGGAGGATCTCCCTGGTCCAAGCCCAGGAGTGATTACTTTTGCCTTGAGCTTCGGTCCCACTTTGGGCAATCTGACTCCGTTTCAGGCTTGGATGCTGGGAGCACATCTTTTTTTTTTTTTTCCAGTTCGACTCTTTTCACAATACTTTGCGTTGGGGCAGTTCCTGTTTTCTGGGGGAAGCATTAAGTGGAAGGATTATAGGATTTGGGTTTTTTCCCTACTAAAAATGCTTTGTTACCTACTTGGATACAAGAGTTGATTAAGTGGAGGTAAAGTCATTGCCTTGAAAGAAAGCTCTGTTCTGCTCGTTTGCCTCTAAGCAGTTGCCATTTTAAACTAGGAACATAATTTTGTGTGGTATATAGAAAGCATTTCTCCTTTTCCTCCTCTTCTTCCTCCTCCTCTTTCCTTCTCCTGCTCCCACTTCATTGTGATCAGAGGCATTCTTCTAGGATGGAATGTATTTGCTTTATCTGAGCTTAGAGGTGGTGGTTCTTATGTTCCCATGTTCCAGAGCAGAAGGTCACAGGGAGGCGAGGGGAGGACCTGCAAAGCGTCACCTGGAGCTGGAAACCACACAGACCTAACGGTCTCCATCTTGGTGGTTGGGATTTCCACTCTGAGGTAAACAACCAGTCTCTCCCGGGGCAGCAGTTCTTATTTTCCTTTGAAAATTCATGCCGCTGAAATTGATAGTTTGTCACAGCTTTACTGACAGGTACAATTGTCGCCAGAAACAGAATAAAGAGACAATGCAAAATAGCTCCTCTAAGCTGCCTTTAATTGGCTCTCAAAGTCATTTTCTTGAGATGGATTAATCACACCCAGACACAGTGTGCTAGCGCAGCTCATAAAACTTGTTTTTCCCGATCATTTTCCAGGGTGAGGAGATATTCGTTGCCACTCCTGGTCCTCATGTAAAGTCCTGCTATTAGATTTTATAGGAGCTGGCCGATGAGACACATCCATCCAGGTTTTGGCACTGCAAGTCCGGTGGACAGGTGTGGCCTAATCCTAGAGGCAGGGTTCTTTCCGTCTTAAAGTGAACATTAAATTCTTTCTGCTTGTGGAAAATGACAGACCCCTGAAACCGCTTTTCTTCTGGTTCTGGCAGGCGGTATGAGTATTCTGCAAACTCTTTCTTTGAGCTCTGCAGAGCTTACTATTAATATTCTATTTCCTATTCAAAGAAGCTTCTATGTGAGTATTGATCTTTGCACCAGCTGCCATTTCAGTGTTGAGGAAGCATCCCAAGCGCAACTGTGCTCCCCTCCCCCAAAGTGAACTAGTGAATCAGAAGAAATCTGTTAGACGTGGCAGTTCTTTTAATTTTTGTTTTAAAGCTCTGTTACTTGGAGGAGAAAACCATGGAGGCTCAGCTTACGTGGAGAATTGAAGGCTGAAATCAAATAAAACTTGCACAAGTTAATCTTAAACACTTAATGGTATGCAAATTTGAGCTCCTATTCATGTAAATCACTGTAATGAGAATCAGTTTCAACCAGCCAGATCAGATTTTGTAGTTTTTCTCTTTTGCTTCCTTATTTTTGAGTGTGAATGATGTGCAGGCATGCGGATGATTTCCCTGGGATTCCTGTGCGGATGGGTAGGTTGCTGGAGGGTGGGGGGCGGGAGGGAAAGAAGGGGTACAGAAGGGAGAGCAGCTGGGCTGGACGCTTTGTTCATGATGATGGCTTTCTCCGAAAGGCTTCAGTCTAATCCTCCTCTGGCCGTGCGTGGTGGCTCAAGTCTGTAATCCCAGCATTTCAGGAGGCTGAAGCCAGTGGCTCGTTTGAGTCCAGGAGTTTGAGACCAGCCTGGGAAACACAGTGAGACTTTGTCTGTATAAAAAATAAACGAAAAAGAATTAGCTAGGTTTGGCGGTGCGTGCGTGTGTTTCCAGCTACTTGGGAAGCTGAGGCGGGAGGATCACTTGAGTCCAGGAGGTTAAGGCTACAGTGAGCTGTAATCGAGCCACTGCACTACAGCCTGGGCTACAGAAAGAAATCCTATATCAGAAAAAAAATAAAATTCTCCAGCCGTAGCATAGTAGCAAGGGACACGGGGAAGGGGCAGGGGCAGGCTTGGGGGTGTATGCCAGGCTTTTGCTTCTTGCTGGCAGGCCTCCGGAGGTGCCCACAGCTCCTTACCACATGTGCTTTCCCAGCGTGGCTGCTTACTTTATCAAGCTAGCAAGCAGAGTCTCTAGAGTAAGTGTGTATCAAGGTGGCATCTTGTACAATGCAGTGCAGTCACAGACGTGACGTCCACACCCACGCCGTATGCTATTGGTTAGAAGGAGCTAGTACTAGGTCCTGCTAACATTCAAGGAGTGGGAATTACACAAAAGCATGAACACCAGGAGGTGGGGATCCAGGTGGCAGGGGGCTGTCCGTCATATCATTCCTTATGAATTCCATTCCCAAGTATCATTAAAGGGTTAAATCATGTTGACTTTCAAGTCACCGTGGAGATACATCCTAAGTTATACCAAGCTTAGGTAGAGTTGGTCCTCCTTACCTTTCAAATATCTCTCTGCCTGCTTTCAGGTATTTAATAATCTTCTGTTATAAAATAAACTGATGTCTTCTGTTAAATTGATAGAAGGTAGAAGACTTAAATTTCAAATGCTTCTCTGAAGTTATTCTTGACTGAATTTAGTTACCTGAGCTGGTCACCATTGTTCATGGCTAACATGTGGTCATCATGTATTTGTATGGGAAATGAGATGTGGGAGAGAAAAGAAAAGATCCCACTGGGTGAAGTGTGAGATACAAACTAAGAAGGGGGACAAAATACTTTGCCTTTTCCATGGATCTTGCTTTCTGCTTACCCAACAGCTAGGCTGTGAGTAATGGTGTTTCCTCTCTGAACTACAGCAAGGGCAGATAGCTCAGTGGAAGCAGTTGGTCATAATATCCCAGAAGGGAAATCCAGAGTGTCTTACAGGTTCACAGAGTACTGAGTATCCCTGGATAGATCCATTAGAAGTTGTTGATCAATTGTTAAACTGCTAAAGGGAGCCT
Source organism: Homo sapiens (assembly GCF_000001405.40). Classification (NCBI taxonomy): domain Eukaryota; kingdom Metazoa; phylum Chordata; class Mammalia; order Primates; family Hominidae; genus Homo; species Homo sapiens. The sequence continues at coordinate 86,065,303 of NC_000015.10, forward strand.
CCAATTGTCATGAACTTACTAGACATCCGCCTGAAAAGAGGAGATAGGGAGGGGACTTGGGGAAGTCCCTTGAATCTCAAAATCCTTCCTTCTCTGGACGATGCCCCAGATTTAATCAATTGTGTCCTAGTAAATTGTAAGTTCTCCTGGTGAAGCACTGCATCCTGCTTTATTAGTTATTCACAGCCTAGTGTGAATGAGGGGAGAGGGAGATGGATTTGCCATATCCTCCGCTGCACGTGGAGTTGTGGAAGGCTCACATTTTCATGGAGAGAGAAAACATTTTAACACGAAAATGTCCTTTATGTATGTCCCTTCCCTGCTTACATACTTTCGCTGGGCTCCCACGCCACATTATAGAAAACAAAACTTTTATTTGGCCAGAGTTCCCTCTATAGCTTCATCATGAGCGCTCTAATACTTGTATACTGCGCCAACCCTTTGTTATAACAAACAACCCAAACTCTTTTACGCAGGTATACCTGTCACACACTCCTACTGCTACCTTGGTTGCCTCTCTGCTCTCTTCAGCCTGGAGTTCTTAGAGATCTAGTACAATGACCATATGCTTCGGGAAGATTTCCCCAACTTCTCTAGGGAGGAGAACTTGCTTTCTCCTTGGGGCTACCACATTGCAGTTGGTAGCATCAAATCACACTGGAAAAGGTTACATGAAAGTTAATCTCTTTCACTACTCTAAGGGTTTTTGAGGGCAAGGGACTATATTTTCTTATTATAATCTCTTTGATGCCATCCTAGGGCCTGATAATACTAACTACTAACATTTATTGAGCACTTATTGTATGATAGACACTGGGCTATACATTTTAAATGTATCACGCACTTAATCTTTACAAGTCTTCATGTTACTATTCCTGCTTTAGTGATGAGAAGCTAAGGCACAGAGAATTTATGTAACTTTTTAAAAGTCATGCAACTAGAATTAGCAGAGCCTGGATATGAACCTGGGTTTCTTGATGTAGAGATTTTGTCTTAGCTCCTACGTTATTGTCTTGTGCATACTCCTTACTATAGAGCTATGATTAATACATATTTATGGAGCGACTGACTGAATGAAAGTGTCACATGTTAGAGAGCGGCCTTGCCCTCATAGCCCCTCCTCAGTGAAGCCCTGCCTCTGTTCAGCTTGGCATTTAGTTCCTGTAGTTCTGGCTTGCAGTCCCTCCAGCCTTCACTGAAGCAGAAGGAAGCATCTGGACTGGCGGCCCTGATGGCTAATATCTCTATTCCTCCTCCTCCCTACTCTGGGCAGCCTGACCTGAGGAGCCCTTGGTTCCAGCTTGTTTGTGACCTGATACTTCAGCTTTAGGGCCCAGAACCCATGAGCCTCTGGGCTGGCCCAGCTGCAAGGGTCTGATGGACATTCTACACCTGTCAGCACTGCAGGTCTGGCCACGGATAAAACAGCCTGGGTGGGAGGGTAGCGATTGTCTTGGCTTTCCCTGAAGAACTTTGTCAGGTGTCCATGGCAACAAAGTCCTGAGTGGATGCTGAGTAGAGTTGGCCCTCTGCCTCATAGGGCCAAGGATAGGATGACCTCTGAGCTGCCACTTGCTGACAAGGCTGGCAATACTGGCATGTATACTAGCCCAGAGAGGGGGCTTTCCTCTTTCATTGGAGGCAACTGAACCCCAACATATGTTCCTGGTGCTATGCTGGGAGTTATGGACCTAGAGGGCTCCACTGGCCCTTGAAAGACTTAGAGCCTAACGTCAGAGATATCCACATGTATTAACAATTGTGATATATTATAATGAGTAATTTGCTATACATGTATGTGCTTTGGATACATAAGAAAAATGAGTATTTAATTCTGCTGGTAGACAAAGTGGTGTATGGTAAGCTGCCAAAAGAGGAAGACATGGTTTAGCATGAGATAAAGTAAGTACAATTCCTGCATGGTCACTGAAACATAGTAGTGTAAACATAGTACTTGGCAAGCAGTAGGTGTCCAATGATCGCAGATATCATTGTCAGCAGCAACAGTAGTGGCACCCCTAGATCTAGAAGAGTGAATAAGTGATCTTCAGGCACAAAAATCAGGAAAGGGATCAGCATTCCCTCCTTAAAAGGAGAAAATATTATTCCCATGAAGTAAGTTTGGAAAAAGTATTGAAAAAACAGTAAGATGGGAAGTTGGAAAGTTGGGAAAACACTGAACTCAGGGTTGGAAATTTAATTATAGTTTCAGTTCTGCTACAGTGAGTAATACTAACTGAGCACTTGGTAAATTGCCTTCTCCCTATGGACTGATTCTCTTTTATAATTTATAAATGTAGAAAGATGGACTGCATGGTACCCAAGTGCTCTTCTAATAACAGAATCTTTAATGTCTACAATATCTCACTCACAATGTCTTGCAATCAGTAAAAAGGGATCAGACAAGTATAGAAACAGAAAAATGTATTCCACAGTCAAAAGAAAAAGCAGGCAATAGAAACTATAAGATAGTGGAATCAATAGACTATACTGTAAAGCATCTATTTAAAACATGGTCAAGAATTTAAAGAAAAATATACTCATCATGAATAAACAGATGTGTAACATCAACAGTGAAATGGAAAGTGTGAAGAAGCCAATGGGTGTTGTATAATTGAAAATTAAAATATTTGAAATTAAAACATTACTAGATGGGCTTAATATCACATGGTAGATGACAGGTAAGTATACTTATAAAATTAATAGAAATTGTCCAATCTGAAGAACAGAGGAAAAAAAGGCTTAAAAATAAATAGAGCCTTAGGAACCAGGGGTACCATATCAAGTTATCTAAGATACATTTAATTGTAGTTCAAGAAGGAGGGGAGAAAAAATTGGGGGAGAAAAAATTTGAAAAAATAAAGGGTAAAAATGTTCAACATTTGGTGAAAAACACAAATTTACAGGCCAAGGAACTCACTAAACACAAGCAGGATAAACAGACAATAAAATAAATAAAACCACAGGCACTACAAAGTCAAAGGGAAAGAAAAATTGTTGAAAGCAGCAAGAGCAAAAGGACACATCACGTACTGAGAACATTAATACATATCATGACTAACTTCTCTTTAAAAATAGTGGAAGCTGGCTGGGTGCAGTGGCTTACACCTGTAATCCCAGCACTTTGGGAGGCTAAGGCCGGCAGATCACCTGAGGTAAGGAGTTCGAGACCAGCCTGGCCAACATGGTGAAACCCTGTCTCTATTAAACATACAAAGATTAGCTGGTGTGGTCTTGGGCACCTGTAATCCCAGCTACTCAGGAGGCTGAGGCAGGAGAACTATTTGAACCCAGGAGGCAGAGGTTGCAGTAAGCCAAGTTTGCACCACTGCACTCCAGCCTGGGCAACAGAGTGAGACTCCATCTCAAAAATAAATAAATACATAAAAATAGTGGAAACAAGAAGGCACAGAATGACATCTTTAAGGTGCTTGAAGAAAAAAAACCTATCAATTCAGAATCTCAGAATTTTTCTGTGTCTGTCAAAAATGATGGCAAAATGACCACATTTGTCAGTAAATAAAAATTGAGAGGATTTATTGCCAGTAGATCACAAATTCAAGAAATGCTAAAGAAAAGTTTTCAAGCAGGAGAAAAATGATTCTTGATAGAATCATCTATCATCTGATAGATTCCTGATAGAATCAACAGGAAGGAATGACAAGTACTGGGAATGGTAACCATGTAACAAGATATAAAAGATTATATAATTTTTTCCAAATTAATATAGTGTGAGGTTTATAACAAACATAGACGTAATAAATACAACAACAATATCAAAAGTACAGGGGAAGGCAAATAATGCTATTCTGTTGCATGGTTATTATATTTTTACATAAAATGGTATTATATAAACTCCAACTAGACTGTGGTAAGTGAAAGATGCATAATGTAATCCTTTGAGCAAGCATTAAAATATAATGCATAGAGATGGAGCTGAAAAGCCAATAGCAGAATTAAAATTGAATACTAAAAATATTTGATGAACCTAAAACAAGGCAAAAAGGAGGAGGAAAAAAACTAAAAGCAAATGAGACAAACGGGAAAACAACAGCAAAATGACAGACTCAAAACCAATCATATCAGTAATCACATTAAACACAATTGAACACTCAAGTTAAATGGCAGAGATGGTCAGACTGGATTAAAAAGTAAGACTCCACTATATTCCTTGTACAAGAAATGACTAAGTGTAAGACACAGATAAATGTAAAGTAAAGGATGCAAAAAGATGTAGCATGTAAACCATAAGCATAATAAATTTGGAGTGACTATATTAACATCAGACAGAATAGACTTTAAGACAAAAGTATTACCAAAGACATAGAGGGACATTTCATTATGATAAAAGTTTTAATTCATTAGGAGGACATAGAAATTGTAAATGTGTACTTGCCTAATAACAGAACTTTAAAATACATGAAGCCTAAACTGACAACTAAAGGGAGAGAGAGACAAATCCCATAATCATAAGACAGAAGATCTCAACAAGGCTGTCAACCACTCTCTTAGTCCATTCAGGTTGCTATAACAAAAATGCCCCATGGATTGTATAGCTTAAGTAACAAATACTTATTACTCATAGTTCTGAAGGCTGGTAGGTCCAAGATCAAGGTTTTGGGAGAGTCATTCCCTTGTGGTGGCCCTCTTCCTGGTTCATAGACAGCTATCTTTTTAATGTGTCTTTTTTAAAATTTCTTTCTTTCTTTTTTATTATACTTTAAGTTTTAGGGTACATGTGCACAACATGCAGATTAGTTACATATGTATACATGTGCCATATTGGTGTGCTGCACCCATTAACTCATCATTTAACATTAGGTATATCTCCTAATGCTATCCCTCCACCATCCCCCACCCCACAACAGTCCCCGGTGTGTGATGTTCCCCTTCCTGTGTCCATGTGTTCTCATTGTTCAATTCCCACCTATGAGTGAGAACATGTGGTGTTTGGTTTTCTGTCCTTGCGATAGTTTGCTGAGAATGATGGTTTCCAGCTTCATCCATGTCCCTACAAAGGACATGAACTCATCATTTTTTATGGCTGCATAGTATTCCATGGTGTATATGTGCCACATTTTCTTAATCCAGTCTATCGTTGTTGGACATTTGGGTTGGTTCCAGGTCTTTGCTACTGTGAATAGTGCCGCAATAAAAATATGTGTGCATGTATCTCTATAGCAGCATGATTTATAATCCTTTGGGTACATACCCTGTAATGGGATGGCTGGGTCAAATGGTATTTCTAGTTCTAGATCCCTGAGGAATTGCCACACTGACTTCCACAATGGTTGAACTAGTTTACTGTCCCACCAACAGTGTAAAAGTGTTCCTATTTCTCCATATCCTCTCCAGCTCCTGTTGCTTCCTGAGTTTTTAATGATCGCCATTCTAACTGGTGGGAGATGGTATCTCTTTGTGGTTTTGATTTGTATTTCTCTGATGGCCAGTGATGATGAGCATTTTTTCATGTGTCTGTTGGCTGCATAAATGTCTTCTTTTGGGAAGTGTCTGTTCATATCCTTCGCCCACTTTTTGATGGGGTTGTTTGTTTTTTTCTTGTAAATTTGTTTGAGTTCATTGTAGATTCTGGATATTAGCCCTTTGTCAGATGAGTAGATTGCAAAAATTTTCTCCCATTCCGTAGGTTGCCTGTTCACTCTGATGGTAGTTTCTTTTGCTGTGCAGAAGCTCTTTAGTTTAATTAGATCCCATTTGTCAATTTTGGCTTTTGTTGCTATTGCTTTTGGTGTTTTAGACATGAAGTCCTTGCCCATGCCTATGTCCTGAATGGTATTGCCTAGGTTTTCTCCTAGGGTTTTTATGATTTTAGGTCTAACATTTAAGTCTTTAATCCATCTTGAATTAATTTTTGTATAAGGTGTAAGGAAGGGATCCAGTTTCAGCTTTCTACATATGGCTAGCCAGTTTTCCCAGCACCATTTATTAAATAGGGAATCGTTTCCCCATTTCTTGTTTTTGTCAGGTTTACTGTGTCTTTATATGAAAAAGGGATGAGGGAGATAACTGGGCTGTCTTCTATAAGAGCCCTGATTCCATTCACGAAGGCTCTGCCTTCATGGCCTAATCACCTCCCAAAGGCCCCAACTCCTACTGCCATCATATTAGGGATTAAGATTTCAATGCAAATTTTGGAGGTATACAAACATCTAATCCATTGCAACTGCTTTGATATGATTGACAATTATAGTATGTTACATCCAGCAGCTCAGAACCTACATTCTTTTTTATTTACACATTTAATTTTCTTTAAGATTAACTATATGCTGGGTCAAAAATGAAGTCTCAGTAAATTTCAAATGACAGAAATCTTCCAATATTTAGAATATGTTCTTTGTCCGTAATGGAATTAAACTGAAGATTAATGAAAGGAACTCTGGTGCCATGGTTTGGAAGTTTGATCCTTCCAAATCTCATGCTCAAATTTAATCCCCAGTGTGGTAGTGTTTGGAGATGGGGCCTAGTGGGAAGTGTTGGGGTCATGGGGGTGGATCCCTCATAAATGGATCAATGCCCTCCCTGAAGCAGGAGAGTGAGTGAGTTCTCACTCTATTAGTTCCTGTGAGAGCTGGTTGTTAAAAAGAGCCTGGCACCTCCCCTATCTCTCTCTTCTTCTTTTACCACATGGTCTCTACATACACTAGCTCCCCTTTGCCTTTCACCATAAGTGGAAGCAGCCTGAAGCCCTCACCAGAAGCAAATGCTTCTTGTACAGCCTTTAGAACTATGAGCCAAATAAACCTCTTTTCTTTATACATTTCCCAGCTTCAGGCATTCCTTTAAAGCAACACTGAATGGACCAAGACATCTGGCAAAGTCCCAATATCTGCATATTTATAAAACACATGTTTAAATACCCCATGTGTCAAACATTGGAAGATGTTTTCAGCTAAATGATAATGAACACACATGAAAAGTTGTGGGACTCAGCAAAGGCAGTACATAGAGGGAAGTTTATAGCTTTATACGCTTATATTAGAAGAGAAGAAAAATTTAAGATTGGTAATCTAAATTTGTGCCTTAAGAAGTTAGAAAGATAGAAACAACTTAAATCCAGAATAAGTAGAAAGGACATAATAAAGAGCAGATATTAATGAAGTAAAGAAATCGATAAACAATAGAGACTAGTCCAGAACCAATTACCCTTCTCGTATTCTCTGATAGAAATAATTCAATTAAACTAATGAAACCATTTCTATAAACATTATAGAATTTATCAGGAAAGATGGGAGGGGGAGAAATGAAAATAAACCAAACTTGCAGCGCACTCAGCATTTACTAGCTCAGCTTATTCTCTCTGACTTGCTTCCTTATAGTTGTTTGCTGTCTGCCACCCCGGAATCATGGAAATCCTGACACAAGATTATAGTTCCCCTTAACTGCTCTGTAGATAACAACTTAATTATTGTGAAACATTAAGTTTTCCCTTTGAGATATTCTTTCTGGTCATGCATGTCAGTGAAACTACTGATGCTAGCTGGTCTGAAAGACCCCAGAAGGAACTGACTCATCAAAGAAGGCAGTTTCCACATTCTGATGATTTCTTCCCCCTTACCCAAACCAATCAATGCCCCTAATTTTCCAGCCCCTCACCCTCCATGATCCGCTTAGAAACCTCAACCCAGAACTCCTCAGGGAGACAGATTTGAGGGTCTCCTCACATCTCCTCACCCATCTGCCCTGTGATCATTCAACTCTTCTTCTGCTGCACACCTGGCTGTCTCAATGTGTTGGTCGTTTACTTCACAGCAGGCATAGGAACCTGTTGGTCCTGGAATGCTAATATGTATTTCCTCCTGGGACCAGTGATCCCTTTTGTGGTAATAATACTTTTTTGGGATTCTGGAATAACTTAAGTCTGTGTGAAAAGTTTGGAAGATTTTTAAAAAATGCTTTATTATATTTTTCTGCCAGAAAATACAATTTACATATAAACGAGCAATATGGTCCTTGATCCCATCTAAAAAGTTTGCATTTGAAAGCAAGGCTTCCATAGTTCACAAGAAACTCCTTGTGAGACCACAGCCTCACACAATCTTCTCCCTGTATGAACTCATCCTAATTATAACCCTTATCACTCCACACTAGAGGTCAAAGGGGTAGGAGGTTTGGGTGGTGGTGGTGTGTGGTTGGGTTGGGGCAGGTGAGCACTACTGAGAGAAGGAGGATAAATCAACTGCCACTGAAACCTCCCCTCACTGTTCTAGGCGTTCCCCTTTGTGTGACTTTTGTATTCTACCACTTCCCATAGGTCCTGAAGGATGTGGGCTTTGCTTCACATCAACCAGGAGGAGGAGAAAAACCTTCCAAGACAGTGAAGGAGAATAAGTTATCACCTGGACACCTGTTTAATAGACCAGGATTTGTAGATAAGAAAAGGCAGGGTGATGAGCTTTCTGAATCTTGGACAAGTATGACTAAGACTCTGATAATTAAGCTGGGGGAGTGGTGGTCAAGAATGTTCTCCCAACACCAAGGGAAGCCTTCCTATTATTATTGGACCTCAAAGTTATGCCAGAAATGATTGAATTGTAACATTTAGCAAGAATTATTGTTCACCTGTTTTGTACACTCTGGACCCCAGAATGGAATAGCCAGATACATAGCCAGATATAAAAATATTTGAATTGTTCTTTGAGTCTATCGGCTAGTGAAAAATGAGTACATTCAGTTTCATTTGAGAACAACATACAATTTAAAAAACATAACTTATATAACACTATAAAGAGAGTAGAGTAGATTCAATTCCTCCTTGTCTTAGTCCATTTGGTCTGCTAAAAGAAAATACTTTAGACTGAATGGCTCATAATCAAAATAAATTTATTTTCACAGTTCCGGAGACTGGGAAGCCTAAAATTCAATGTCTGGTTAAGGGCCTGTTTCATGGTTCACAGGTGGCTCTTTCTAGCTGTATCCTCAGGTGGTGAAAGGAGCAAGCCTCATAAAGGCACTAATATTAATATTTAGCTCTTTATATACAAGGGCCCTTTTATAAGGACCCTAATCCCATTCATGAGGGCTCCACACTCATGCCCTGACTGCCTCCCAAAGGCCACACCCCCTAATACCATCATATTGGGGATTATGATTTCAATATGTAAATTTGTGGTGATACAGTCAGATCATAGGACACCCCATGAGAAAGTAGTTCCTCCTAACCAGTGCTGTTGGGAGCGCAGTCGTGATTCTGGTATTGCCTGGAGATGCTTTCTCTGCCCCTCTCTGTTGTGTCCTGTGTTGCCCTTGTTACAAGATCTCACTGTGGTGGAGACGACTAAGCTGCTTCGGATCTCTCACTTTAAGTCTCAAGTTCTTTTTCAAAGGGCAAAATCCCCTGGTGTTGGTCAGCCCATCCTCGCCACAGGTTTGGCTTCCCTTCAGCTTGCTGCACAGGCCACTGGCCATGGTGGATCAGGCTGTTGCTCTCTGTCTCTGTAGCTTGAAAGAGGCAGAGCTCTCATCTACGTCTTTTTTGCTTTGTCTGGTATCTCATCAGGCCCTCAGTGGCACCTTCAGTTGCACAGGCCTTGTGGTCAATTCATTTGAGAGATGCTTGGGAATGATCAGAACTCCAAACCTATTTCTTGCTGGGCAGAAATATGGATGTCAAGTCAAGTCACTTTCCTCACCCAGTACCCTCTTATTTAGGAGGAGTCTAGGGTATCACTGCTCAATAATTTACCGCCCTGTCATCAAAGTCCATTAGTCACTTCCACATGCATTTGCTCATTTAACCCTCTCACCAATTATTTTAGTAGGTATTATCAAATCTGAAATGTAATAATGACAATAATATCAATAACGACTGCATTTATTGAGTGCTTTTCAGATGACCAGCACTGCGCTGAAAACTTAAGTGCTGCTCAAATTAATCCTCTTAGCAACCCTATGAGGTAAGCATTATCATCTCCCCCATTTAACAGATGAGAAAACAGAGTCACAGAGAGATTAGGTAACTTAGCTCCAAGTCACATAGCTAATAGACATGGGAGCAAAAGCTTGAAACCACGTGTTCTGTGTTTAGAGTGGAGCGGGGCTGGTTCCAGGTGCAGTAGTAGAGGAACTCCCTGCTTTCATGCCTCCTCTTCTGCCTGTGGTACCTGCACTCTTGAGCGCTAAGTCACTGCATCTTTCAAGGCACGGCTAAGACTCCTGGAAGTTGTGCTGCCATCCTCATGGCAGGGCATGCTCTCCTGCTACCTACTCTCTCCCTTCTACTCTCAGGAAAGAAATCCTGTTTGCCATTTATGAATTTAAATCTATGGGCCGGGTGCGGTGGCTCACACCTATCTATAATCCCAGCACTTTGGGAGGCCGAGCTGGGCGGATCACCTGAGCTCAGGAGTTTGAGACCAGCCCGGTCAACGTGGTGAAACCCCAGCTCTACTAAAAATACAAAACTTAGCCGGGCATGGTGGTGCACTCCTGTAATCCCAGCTACTCAGGAGGCTGAGGCAGGAGAATCACTTGAACCCAGGAGATGGAGGTTGCGGTGAGCCGAGATTGCACCGCTGCACTCCAGCCTGGGCAACAGAGTGAGACTCCATCTCAAAAAAAAAAAAAAAAAATCTATGGAGAATTTATCTTCTAGGGACCTTTACTCTCAATGGAAAAATCTCAGTTCAGCCTCACTGCTATTTTGGTTACAGATACAACATTTATCCCCCTTTTAGAGGTGATGACATTAGACTGAAAAGATGCTTTGGGGATATGGGGTCATGCTGAAAACTCATATTGGTCTCACCTCTGGATAAACCCCCAAGCTTTTTTCACATTCAGCAGTGTTTAGCCAAGCCTCCCAACCTTATTTTTGTCAGGTGGTAGTGAAGACCTGGGGGAGGGAATTTCTACTCTTGGCTCTATTATATTTCATCCTGTAGGATCTGGTCCATTACTCAAGGCTGTTGAAATCTTTTTGGATTCCAACTCGGTCATCTGACATATTCGTATCTTTCTTAACTGGGTGTCATCCGAAAATCTGATGAGCGTGTAGCCTTTATTTTCACCCAAGTCATTGATAAAAATGTTGAATAGGAAAGAGCAAGGGGACTGAATAAATGCTGTTAGAAAACCGTCTATGTCAGTGTCAATTTATTAATTACTACTCTTTGAGTCTGGCATTCTGCTCACTATCGAATTCTTCTAATTATAGAAGCCTGCACTTCTTTCTCTGTGTTATTCATAAGATATGAGAGTCTTGAGTCTGAGATGATGGGATAAGAGGGCAGGTGTGCGGCAAAGGATTAATCTTGCCTAAAGGAAGATTTGTTCCTCGTCTAGCCCTGGGAGCTAATCTCTAAATCCTTGGAATGTCCTGCCTCGTGAGTGTCTTTGTTTACCTGGGGGCCCTGGGCAACACAGTATAAGCTTGACCTCTGGCAGGGATAGAGACTAAGGCCATTCATGTCTACATGACCAACTCCCAATAAAACCCTGGACACCAAGGCTTAAGTGAGCTTCCATGGTTGACAATACCCTGTGTGTGTTGCACACATTGTTGCTGGGAGTGTTGGCTGCATAACTCTATAGGGGAAGGAAAACTGGAAGCTCACGTATGGTCTCTCCTGGACTCTGCTCTATGTGCCTCTCTCTTTTTGCTTATGTGGATCTGTATCATTTCACTGTAATAAACTATAACTGTGAGTCCTAGCAAATCACTAAACCAGAAGGTGGTCTGGGGGATGCCTGAATTGCAACAGGAATCTCTGGATTACATGAAATGTGTCTTTCTTTAAAGCCAGAGGACTAAGATCTCTCTGAATTTCTGCTTGAACCTCCTCTCTGGCTTCCCTAAACCCTTTCTTCAGAAGATATTATGTAAAATGTGTAGGAAGTCCTCTCTCAGCTTCACAAAGAAGCCTCCTCCCCCATGGCCTGCCCTAGGCACTGACCAACCCCTCTTGCCTGCCCCGTGTGGTTTAATGAGTACTCACTTCAGTCTACTCTGGGTAGGATATTGTATTGCCCAAGCAGACTCCACACTCACCTGCCTTTCAGGAGAGTCCCTGCTAAAATCCAGATGTTAACTGGGGAAGAGCATAATTCCCTGCTGTCACCCATTTATACTTCAGCCTAAAGTAATCAGTTCACTAACAGAATGGGCTGTCATTAAGATAGAATTCAGGAGAGGGGAGTTCGGGTGTGGGTACTTCTGGGGCTTTCCCTAACTATGAGAGTGAAGAGGGTTCTGCTAGGCAGGGAAACAGGGTTGCTGGGGTCTCCACAGGGCTCTGTTGAGGCATAAGGGAGGAGCGTGCTGAAGGAGCGGCGGAGGGCTGACAATAAGCTGGCCTACATCCTAGTTTTGTTAGAAAAATTAGAGGGTGAAAACTAGCACTTTGTTCCTTCTCTGGCATCCACATGTATCCACATGGCCAAGTGGGCAGTAACTTTCCAGAGGATGAAGGGGAGAGCAGCCAAGCTGGGCATGGGAGGCAGATGTGTCACCTGAAAGAGAGGGAGCCCATTCCTTATCTCACAAGGGGTTTACTGGAAACCAGGTTCCTGGCACTGCGGTGGGGGGAAAGTCATCATTAAGTAGAAGAGAGCAATCCTTTACATATAGGATTTTAATCTCACTTCTGCCCTATGCAATTCCAGGCAGCTTAACCGAGACACTCTTCAAAATGGAGAAAATTTTGCTCCAATTCTAATATCAGGGAGTGTGACCACAAAACCTTTAGTTCTCTCCTCTGAGGTCATTTTTATGACTTCTCACTACTTTTTATCTTTGAACTATTTTTTAGGTCTATGTTGGGAAAATGGTTTTGTTTCTTTCTTCCCCCATCTCTTTTCTTTATCCTCCAGTTGACAACCATGAAATGATCTCCCCTTAAGACAATCACATGAGACAGTTCTGTCTTCCCTTCACCCTGGGCCTTAGAGGATTAGAGAGCACATGCCCTAAAAAGCGTCACCCTCCCATAGAAATCCATAGAGAACCTCTATTTCTACCCTCCTGGCAGCAGATGTAGAGAAATTGGGGTAGGGGTAGACGGCGTCAACCCCACCCCGCAAGCTTCATAAATGTGAGCGCTTATAGTCAGTTCCCAAGATGGGAGGCCTTCATATTTAAAGCCATTAAGTGGAAATTTCTTGAGGGCAGGACTACATGAATTTGCCCTTGAATTGAGGGTTTGGCCAGGCCTGACCCCTGACTCGGGACTTCAGAACACTTAGGCCAAGCAGGATCTGGAAATGCAGTTTCTTCAGTCACCCCAATGTGCTTGGTACCTGCCTAATGAATGCTTGTGATGCTCACAGAATCTCCCTAAACTCCGCACGGGGGTGTTGGCTGGCAGCCCACTCCCCCAGTCACTGAGACTCTTCTATAATACCTGACCGTGCTCTCAGTCAGAATCTCCACTGAGCTCAGCGCTCCAATTTCATGCAATAAAGCGAGCTTTCAACACAGTAAAGTTGTGCTTTGACCTTGCTGGGCACTCGTTTATTGGGTCAAATATTGTCAGAGTTGTTGAACACGCAGGCAATGTAATCAATATAGTCGAAATTGGAGATTTCCAAACTTTAATCCTCTGGTCATTTTGTTAACCAGCTCTAAATCCCCCGAGGATCTGGTTTAAATGCAGTTTCGGACACAGTAGTTCTGGGGAGAGGCGTAACAAGCTTCCAGGTGACGCCCTAGCACCATACTTTGAGAAGTCAGCATTGAAGGGTGTTGATATGGGGAGGAGGAGAAGCTAGTCGCTAAGACTCTGCTCACACATCCCTAGCAGAAAACATAGAAAGTGATCATGGATTCTACATTGGTCTGAAGGAAACTTGTCCCGGGCATCTGCTGTCCCTGAGGCTGAGGACATGGCTCTCAGACCTCCATTACTTTGAAGTGTTTGCTGCAGCAAGAGGCAGGATGGTGCAATGGGTAGTGCTTGTGTTCTGGTGCCAGCTTGCCTGTTTGAGGCCTGGCATGCAATTCTAAGCTCTGTGTTCTTGTGGCTTAACATTTCAGTGCCTTAGTTTTCTTATTTGTAAAACAGGGATAGGGTAGTCATAATAGTACCCACCTCTATTAGGTTACTGTAAAAATTAAAAGATTACGTAAGGGACGTGGTCCATAAAAAATGTCCAGAATACTTATTTTCCTTTTCAGCCAGAGCTCCTGTTTCTAAGCCTGGGACCTCAGGGGGCCCTGGGTTTCTATGCCCTGAACTGCCACAGTTGTGCAAGCACTCTTGGGTCTCCTGTTACCCGGGAGCCGGCAACAGACCAAAATAAAGAGGTGGGGTGGGGTAGCGGGGCGGGCTGAGCGAGCCTCTAGAGGGAGTCTGACCAGGTCAGCTGGGAATGCCTGTCAGCCATCCAGGGTGGCTTCTCCTTTGCTCTGCTCCTGCATGGGCCTGGAGGTGGGTGAGTGACTCATGCTGGTGCCCTCCCCACCCCTGCACCCAAATGCTCAGCCCTCCCCACAGCAGGGGCTCACCTAATCCCCACAGTGGGAGTCGGTGGGTATTCACGCCTGTGCCGAGGTCTAGGGTTGCACCGCGCTGACTTCACACTCAGCAGCATGTGCAGCTGAGGCCTCCGGGCAGTCGTCTCCTGCGAGGCGGGCAGCGAGGTCAGCTTGGCAGCCGCTGCCTCTCCAGCCTGGATCTGGCCGCAGGCAGCGGTTCCCTAGGACCCGAGAAAAGGATGGCCGAACAAGAAGCTAGTGGGCTACAGGTCCTGCTGCACACGCTTCAGGTAGGAAAGGGTAGAGTGGGTGCAGAACCCGGCGGGCTGGGTGTTTGCCTGGGCTGGCCTGCCTGGGAGCTATGCACACAGTCCCCTCTGGCAGTCACTGGCCCAGTTTGTTAACAGCAAGAGAACAGGAGTCGGCTCTCACCTTGAAGCTGACCTAAGTGATGCTATGGAATTCAAATATTAAACACGACGATGTTGATGATTGTTCTGCTTAAATTATTGATCCTCGTGGGATCAGAGGCTCTGGGTAAAAGATCCGAGTTTTCTAGAAATGGGAAAGGTGGAGAAAAAGCCTGTTTGGCAAATGAAGGGGACCTGTTGAGGCTCCTCCTGAATAAGGCTGGAGACCTGCTGAGAGCATGCAGAGCTGTCTGGGAGGACAGGGTAGGTGAGGAGAGGACCCTTCTGGGTATCTCCTGCTAAATGGCTATCTTACTGGGCTCCCACATTGTAGTTACATCAGAATGGCCTGGGATGCCGACTATCAGTGCATTTTCCCAGGCAGGATCTGACTAGAAGGTGTTTGAATCATGTAGGGCAGTAGCCTGGGAAACTGCCTTCTCCCTGGGGGATGCTATTCATTCCTAATTTTGAGAATTCTTGTTCTACAGCAGTGGTTTGCAAACTTGTCTGCACATTAGAATCACCTGGAGAGGGTCAAAAAATACTCATGCTTGGGACCCACCCCCAAAGACATGGATTTAACTGATCTAGGGATCAATCCGAGCGTTAGAGTTTGAAAACTCCCCCGGGGTCTCCATGTAGATTTAAGGCTGAGAACCACTACTCTCTATGCTTGTAGTTAGCTGGATTCAGAGGATGCCAGTGTTCAAAAAGGCCCAAGGGGTCTTCTACCCCAGGAGTTTAAGCTGGAAGTTCCTGGAAGGGGTCACAAGATGATGGGCTTGTGGGGGCGGGGGGGGGTCCATGACCCCATTCCCCTGTTTAGAATATAAACATTTTGTACGTATTTTCCTTTTTCCCTGTTGGGAAAAATGTTCTTAATTTTCCTCTGATTGTTTTTGTTTTTATTTTGTTGAGACAGCGTCTCACTCTGTCGCCCAGGCTGGAGTGCAATGGTGTGATCTCGACTCACTACAACTTTTGCCTCCCAGGTTCAAGCAATTCTCCTGCCTCTGCCTCCCAAGTAGGTGGGATTATAGGCTCCTGCCACCATGCCTGGCTAATTTTTTGTATTTTTAGTAGAGATGGGGTTTCACCATGTCGGCCAGACTGGTCTCAAACTCCTGACCTCAGGTAATCCACCTCGGCCTCCCAAAATGCTGGGATTACAGGCGTGAGCCACTGTACCTGGCCATTTTTCTCTGATTCTTAAGAAGATTTGTATTCCTGAAAGTTTAAGAACCAATAAGTGCAACCTTCAGGTGTGCAGATAAGGAAACGGAATCTCAGAAGTGAAATAGGCTCCTTGATGTCAAATGGCTACATAGTAGGAGAACTGGGCCTTCAATATTCAGTTGACTTGGCGTCCTTTGACTCATTCTATCTGATTCATGCAAGGTGAGAATGTATCTGACCAGGGGTACTGGAGGCAGGAGTGGACCTCAAAAGAAATTTGCAAAATAAATCCAAGGATTTATTTGTATCTGGCTAGATTTATTTGATTTAATAACCAGGTACAATAAGCTGACATTCTGAGACCTCTTCTAATTTCTGAATAGTTGCATGGAGATCTTGATTAACTGATTCAAACAACTGAAAATATCTCATGGACAGAATTTTCCTTGCACTAGCTGTCTAGGAAAGAGGGAAAGTAATAAGTTGGTAATAGGGGTTCAGTAAAAATGAATGTCCTGTAGTCGGCCTCAAAGTCACTTCAGGTTGAACTCAATTGCCTGCATTCCCACCAGTGAGAATTGATAATTGATGTTTAGCATGATCACCCCGGGGCACTGCTAGATTCCCAATTATCAAAGAAAGATTTAATTATGTTCACTAGACTCTACTTAGTTCCCAATTAAGCAGAACATTATGATAACAGGAGCACGCTTCCTGTTTACTCCTCAGTTGATCAGAGTTTGGTTTAGAATTGACCTGGGTTCCTGGCCTGGCCTGCACCAAGTGCTTCCCTAAGCCCTGTTTCTGTCTCTACGGTAGAAGTCAGAACTCTGAAACGCTTTTTAAAAAAGAGAACCCAGAACATATATTCTGTGGAATAATCTTTCATGATGGATTTGATGTCCTGTCCCCATCCCTGCTCCCCATGGACTTAAACTAGGTGAGCTCACATTGTTTCTGAGAAAGGGTTAGCTGAACCTGTCTCAGTTGGGGATCCCAAAGATCTTACCAATTCAAACCAGTCTGTCTCTTCTTGTGCACAAGGTGACAGACAGAAGGCTTTGAATTGCTTCTCAAACCTTTGGGGAAAGCAGTGAATAAGTTTGAACCAAATGTGAGCTTAGGTCTCAGTTCCCATGTCTTTTAGGAGTGCCCCAAAAGGTTGCCAAGGGAAGGAAGAAAGAGATTGGAGGGACAGAAAAGGCAAACACAAGCATAACAGAATATCCCTGTGCTATGTTTGTGGATGTCCTCCTACTTAAGCATATCACCATTTCTGACTCTTTAGGGGCATAAAATAAACCGGGCCACTAAGAAACATCAGTTTTCTGTGTGTTAACTTTTTCCTGCACACATGAGGAAGGGGTAAGTGGTTTTCCCTACCACAACTTGAAAACAGCTTCTTTATCTCTGTCCCGAAGGTCTGAGAATCAGATTTCTACCCAGACATGTTCCAACTTCCTGGCCTTTACAGCGTGGGTGTGAGGCAGAAAATCAGACTGACTGATGTGGGTCTGGGTGAAGCAGGAGGCAGGCAGCCCACAGCACAGGTGCGAGAGGCAGAAAGGACTGGATCCAGCCCCTTGTCTGGCACTTACTCGGCTGTTTATCCTTATGAAAGTCCCTCGACCTCTCTGAGCCTCCATTTATGTAATCTGTAAAACAAGGGCCTTAAAAATACGTTCCTTAGCATTTCTGTGAGGATTAAGAGAATACATCTGAAAAGCGCTTGTAAACTCTAAATGGCTGTTTGAATGACTGTGGTTTTATGATTTCCCTCGTTGAGTATGCAGTGGAGAGGCTGGGAACACTTGCCTACACTTTTTGTCAACCTGCCTGGCTTTTTTCCTGGGTGGACTCCAATATACTTGGAAAAAAAAAAGAGGTGTCTCATTTGTCCTGCTCTCGTCTCTCCATGTGGTTTGAGCTAATGGAGAAGATGGGGAACTGCCAGCGTTGCAGGATGTGGGCTCCTTGCCAGCTCTGATGCCGTGGGCTGTCACCCAGCAGTGTCCCACAAAATGCCAGTTAAGTACGTTTATTGAAACATGAAAAATGCATAATTTTTCGGTCAGCTTTGGCACACTCTGCACTGTGATATGGGCACATTTTTGCCATTTCCATTTGTACTTTATTATTTTATGTGATAGCTGCTTAGATCAAACCCTGGTCTGCATCTTTGCCAAAATGTGCATAGTTAACTTCTTTTCTCAACTTGGGATCCAAGAACACCATCTATTATGGATTATGAATGAGGCTGCAGGATGTGGGGCTTCCTGTCTGGAGTAAGCCATGGAACTTAGATAACCTCGGCTGGGGTGACCAGTCCACTTCTCCCCCTTGGACTTGATCCTCCAGGGATTATTTCCAAGATGGCAGGTGATTTTTAGCTTCTGGGCTACAAATAGAGGAAGGGTAGAAAAATGATGACTGATATGTTTCATTCATAGCACTTGGGACTTCTGCTTCCAAAACATGTGTTTGAAATTTTCCCTTGTAGAACTCTCTGTAGAGGACATGGGAACATCCAACTATTGTATCCATAGGGTCAGGTGGAACAGACGCTGAGCTTTTCCCTTGGACTTAAACAGAAGGATTTGGACAATCAAGGGAAGAATTTTCCTTTAGATAGCAAACACTGTGTAGACTTTCCAAGGTTCCCTAGGAAGTTTGAGGCTTTCTGGGTTTGTTGGAGATACCTGCTTCAACCACAACTCAAACATAGAAACAAACTGAAAACTGTCTTAATTTCAAGCATTAGTAGAAGCAAAGAAAGAGGAAACCCTATAAGGATGAGGGCCAAGTGGACAAGAGACAAAATTGGCAAGAAATTACATCTGTCAGTGCCTTAGGAATGGCTTTGTGACAATCAACCTGGGTAGAGAAGGGATGATGACAGTGTGTAGGCGTATGCTGAGCTTTAAGTGGGGAGAACTCTTTATTTGGTGTTTTGTTTTTTAAGACCTCATTACTTTCACAGCTTCTTACATTTCTTGGAATTAGAGATTGGAGAAAATGAACAATTATTAAGGGTCCACTTGTGCCAGGCTTTTACCTCCACTACTTAACTTTCCTCTCTCTGCCACCTGTGAGGAAGATGTGGTTATTCTCCTGTCTTACAGATGAGGACACTGATGGTTAAGGAAAGGATAAGCTGCTCAAGGCTTAAGGACAGAAACTTAGTAAACCCTGAGATAAGAGATGTGAGGCAGGTTTTGTTCCCCTAAAGCCTTTTCACTGGTTTGCATTGCTTAAGAAACCTATGGAATATTCACTTATTCTTTATTTTGAGGATATTACCTTCATCTGACTAAACCTGAAGGTTGGGGCAATATGAATTTTCTACAGTAGAGGAAGGCTTATTTATAACTGATATCATCTCCCACTTCCTGATTTGGTGTGGGGGTAAGGAACTCCTGATGAAGGAAGGTAATATTTTGGATTTGGGTCAACTGGATGTTTTCAATATCCATCTATCCATCTGTATATTCACTCATCCACCCATTCATTTATCCATCCATCCATCCATCCCATTTACCTGTTCATCCACCCATCCACCTATCCATTCATTCGCCTAGCCATAGCTTTCTATGTGCTGGAAGAGATGTGTAAAAATGAGAATTATAACCCCTACTTATTGATTTTTTATAAGTTTAGAGAAAATTTATAAGAAGTGGTAAGCATATTGGTACATGCCCAATAAGTAGGAGCACTTATTGTAATGAAATACAGTCACTGCCTTCATGAAAATGTGGTATAGGAGCTAGGAGGAAGAAAGAAAATTATTCATAAAGCAAGTTTGCATGTGATGAATGCCATGGTAAAGGTAAACATCAAAAGAAAATTTTATGGAAGTTGGGGGAAGAAACCTCTCCTGATTAGAGATTCAGGGAAGGCCTTGGAAAATGGGTCTAATTTCAGCAGGGGGAGGTACATTTACCAGGATGAGGAGGGTGCCTAGTGATCTTCCCCCGGTCATGGCGGGGGTGGGGATTTGTCATGGCATGGAGTTTGATTTAAAATGACAGTTCATGAAGGGGAAGAAATAAGATGGAGATGGAAGTTTGGCCAAATGCTGGAGGGTCTTGAGTGGCAAGCTTCAGGTCCAACCATGCCCTTGGTAATGGCTGCCTATTCCTGCGTGTGAGTGGTGGAGTTGCAAGACAGTCAACCAAGGTGATAATTGCAGAGCTCTTTGGACTAGGAACATTGGACATGACTGCTGATGTAATGTGATCTGTTTTAATTCCCCATTCCTGACCAGGCTTTTGTCACTGGACTTCTTCCTATACCTGTTCCCAACTCTTAGTCCCAGCCTTCAGCCCCTCCTGTCGCTTACCTCATCCTAGTATCTCAGCTCATCCTGAGCCTCTCTCTAACCCTAGGAGGAAGGGCTGGGATGAACTGAGGCTCAGGGATTGGGGCAGGAGAACTGTTCTACAACACTTGATTTTTGTTGTTGTTGTTGTTTTTAATTTGTTATTTTAGGGGCAGCATTCAGATAGCATTCAGATGTCCTTGCATCAAAGCAGCTCTGACAGCATGGCTGAATTAACCAGAGTTGAGTCAAAAAGTCTCATCCCCACTCTCAAATTGAGAGCAGTTGGCATTTCCATCTTCTGAGCCCAGATTTTGGATCTGTCTCCCTGAACACCCACCTCTGCAGGGCAGAGGGTGGACAGGGGACCAGTGGTGCTTTGAGGTGTAATTGGAAATGCAGTGATGCAATGAGGTGCATTGCTGGTGATATGCTGAGGCAAATGGCCAACAGCGACCCACGCCTACAGCAGAAAGCCATCACTTGGCAATATTTACTCCACAATTTACTCAGTTTCTAAAACTGGAACTGATCTTATGAGAACCAAACACAGCCCCAGTTCCAGCCCTGGGAGATGGGGATGAGAACTTGGTCTCGGTTATCAATTACTGTATCTGCAGTTGTGGAACAGGCAGCTATGAATCAAACAGACTGGACACCTCTTCATATTTCAGAAATGGGTGTATGGAAATGCATCCTCTTGGGTGTGAGTCCCATCTCCTTTACGCCAGGCCTGAAATAAAGAAAGTGGAGGGTTTGTGGGGTCTGTGCTTTTTCACTGAGCAAATACTGCATGGTTCCTTCAAAGCCATAGGTCTGCAAATCAGGTTCTTGTTAGAGAAAAAGATGATATGAGACAAGGGAGCATTCAAGGTCAAGAGCTAGGAACAAAAGAATGAATATAAAACAGGGCATGATAGAAAACAGAATGGCAAAGCGTATGTGCTCAATATGTCTCCCTTCCTCTCTCCCTCCCTCCTTTCTTTCTTTTTTCTCTCCTTTCTGCTTTTTGGTAACTTTTTACAAACTGAATACATCTATGGAGTAACCTACAGTAACATGGAGGAATCGCACAAAGTTAAGCAAATAAGTTGCTTAAATTTGTGCATATAAGTTGCTTAACTTTGTGCGATTCCTTCATGTTGCCATATATTGTTGTAGATGGTTCGTTCTGATTGCCCAATAGCATGCCATTGTGTGAATATCTTTATCCATTCTGGAGTTGGTGATATTTGGGGTAGTTTCCAATTTGGGGCTATAATGAAATAGTGCTGCTTTGCACATTCCAGTACATGTCTTTGTGAACAAATGTATGCCTGTCTGTTGAGTATATATCTAGGGGTGAAGTTGTGGGATGCTAGGGTGCACCTATGTTCAGCTTTATAGATAACAACAAATGGTTTTCAAAAATGGTAGCTCCAAAACAAATATCTATTAGCCACATAGATACCATTAGCTAGCGAAAGCACTGGATATTACTCCAAAACTTGTTTAACACATATTTGTTAGTTGAAAGTGATTTGAGATGCCCTGCATTAAGGGACTACTCATAGCATTTATTTCTTTTGTGTTCAGTTCCCTCTTCTTGGTCCTTTTCATAATAGCTAAAATAATAACTAACATTTCTGAAACAGCTTCTGCAAGTCAGGAGCTATGCAAAGTTTTTCACATGCATTGTCTCATTTAATGGGCTTTTTTTTTTTTTTTTGACATTGTCTTGCTCTTTCACCCAGGCTGGAGTGCAGTGGCACGATCTCGGCTCACTGCAATCTCTGCCTCCCACATTCAAGCGATTCTCCTGCCTCAGACTCCTGAGTAGCTGGGATTATAGGTGCACACCACCATCCCTAGCTAATTTTTGTATTTTTAGTAGAGGCTGGGTTTTACCATGTTGGCCAGAGCTGGTCTGGAACTCCTGACCTCAAGTGATCTGCCCTCCTCAGCCTCCCAAAGTGCTGGGATTACAGGCGTGAGCCACTGCACCCCGCCCTCATTTAATCTTTGCAACAATCCTAAGGCAGTTAATATTATCCTCATTTTAAAGCTTTAAAATGGAAGATTGGAGAGGTTAGTGAATTTTCCTTGATCACAGAGTGAACAAGTGGCATAGCTGGAATTTGAGCAGAGGGAATCTCATACCAGCAGAAGTGCCCTCACCAGGTGCATTAACTCTCTAAGGAAAAGGAAGGGCATTTGGAAGATTGTCAATAGATTTCCTCAGGTGTAAGTGTCTGCTGGGGAAAGATGGAGACCCTCACCTAGCACAGTCAGCAAGGACAGTAGCTGTCTCCACAGGCTGGAAGGACTGGCCAAAAGGGTGCAGAACAGGTGCCCAGAACAGGGATCAGCATTCTTTCTGCAAAGGGCCAGATGGCAAGTTTTCAGGCTTTGTAGGCCATACAGGGGATCCCTGTTGCAACTACTCAACCCTGCCACTGCAGCTGTAGACAACATGCAAATGAATGGGTATGCCTGTGTTCCAGTGGAACTTTATTTGGAAAACAGTCAGTGGGTTAGATTTGGCCCACAGGCCATAGTTTGTTACCCCTGGCCTGAAGGCCTTTGAATCACAAGCCTGGTGTAAGGGTGGGAGACGGAGTGGAAAGGTAGTGATGGAGCACGAGGTGGTAATTGCTGCGGCAAACTGCCAAGTAGGAACTTACCTCTCTGTGGTGGATGTTCTCAACTCCCAGGGTGCCCTTCCTGTAAAAGCAACAGATCAAACCATGCCTCTGGGTGCAAGTCTTGGAGAACCTGAACTATGCAGTTCAGAGTCCTGAGACTCCGGCTGCTGCCACAGCTTTTCTGGCTATCAGTGGAGAAAGTGCTGGTATCCGTTAGCCCACTGGGGGTGGGCTTTCAGGTTATTTCATCAGCATTTATGTGTGATGGGGGACTATTATGCAGATAATGGTCTGCATTCAACAGCACTAGAATCCCAAGATAAAACCAGAACTTCTCAAACTGGGTTCCAAAGAACACTAGTGTTCCCTGGGATGCCAGTGGGTGTGCCACTCAAAAAGCGTTGTGGAAACAGATGGATTTGAAATGTCAGGATAAATTTACTATATTTCTTTACTAAAGAATCTTCATTTTTTAAAAAATCTTTAAAGACACTCATGGTTTTCAATTCTCAGTTTAAATACCTTGTACTCAGAGAGGATTTCTCTGACAGCCCAATTAGCTACCGGGTCACTGTATGCCCCACCTCTCTCATTTACTTGTCTGCATATTCTCTAATATTTGTTTTTGTGCTCCTTTTCTTCTTCCATCATGGTTGGAATCTTATCTGTCTTGCTTACTCTTTTTCCATACTACCTAAAGCACTGTCTGGTACATGGTAGGTGCTCAATAAATGTTTGTTGATTGACTAATAAAATGAATGTGCATAGTATATTAATAAGTTTGAGACATAATATATGTCATTTTGAAACCATCTTGGAAATAAAAATTTTTTTGGCAAAACCCACTAGTATTTCATAGGACATTAGGGATCCATGGAACACATTTGGCAAATAATGGTTTTAGACCAATGCCATGTTATATCTCTGCTTGCTTGTGACTGTTGACTTTCTCTTGGTTTGGAAACTGGTTTCAGCATGTTATAACTGTTCTGATGTGAGTGGATTTGAAGTTAGTTCTATGGGAAACCCAGGGTCATTCCTCTGCTTGGTGAATACCACCAGCTAATGACCCTACAACCAGTCTGCAGGCCTTGCATTGACATGAATTCTGGTCCTTACTTGATTGGGATAAAATAATATAAGCAATAGATGTGGAGGTTTAGAGAAGAGTTCTTTCTAGAGGCTCAAGAGAGCCATTCTGATTCTGATCAGGAGGCCATATGGCGATAAGGATAGCTTTAGCTTCAGGTTTCACATTAAAGGCAGGGTCAGATTTCACAGACACAGCATCTGAGGAAGCTTTTCCTAGGGGATTTGGAGAAAAGCAGCTTTTCTAATGAATGGTCAGCAATGAATTCTCCCCTCACCCTTCCCCTGACCAATTCCCCGAAAACAATGCATGTTAACATTTCTAATCTCCAGATCCCACCAATCGGTGCTAGCTCAATGCCCTACAGTTTCGACCCAGAGCATCTATATCCCAGCCCTCTAAAGACAGAATTAAGCCAACCAGTCCTGAGGATAATGCAGATACCCTTTACTTTTCATATTTAGATTAAGAGGACACTATAAGCAAATCCCACTTTCCCTTTGACTTTAATTGCACCAACTTAATATGTTCTAAAGGAAAAAAAATGCCCCAAATGACAACTAAATTTTTGCACTGCAGAAGAGGTTAAGATGATAATATTTGAAGAAAAATGGGCATTACAATTCAAGAAGTGTTTTTGTCAGGAACCCCTCACATTTGTCGAGTACTTACTATGTACCAGGAAATAGCCTAAGTATTTTTCCCGTCTTCTCTTACATAACCTCACAACAATCCTATGAGGAATATATGGCTACTTTCCCCATTTTATAGATAAAGAACACCAGGTATTTGCTTTAGTTCTTGCAGTATTTAAGTAGCAGTCGCAATTTAAACACTGGCAGTCTGACTCCAGATTCCATTCCATTCCATTCACCAGTCTACAGCATCCCTTTTGTTTTTACCTGTCCTTTCTCCACTAAACATATTTTTCTGTAAAGGTAATACCTGTTCACTATTTGTAAAAAAATTTAATTAATATGTAGATGTAAATTATAGGGAGGAAAAATCCCCCTATTAGATTCTACTTCCTAAGACAACTTCGTAAGCACTTGCTAAGTATTCTTTTAGATGTTTATATACATATAGCAATGAGATGTTTCTATCATTATATACCTATATCTTTATCATTTTTACACACTGCTATTCAATTTGCTTTTCCTGCATACCAATGTACTTGAACATTTTTCATGCCAAGACATATAGCCAGCTTAACCTTGTGTGATAGTTATATCATTTTTTAGTTCATGGTTGTACCATAATTTAAATAAATAGAAGTACGTTTTCTTCTAGCATTTCACTTGGGCTTGACTTTGTTTATGCTCTTTATTTTTTGATATTATATATGTCACTTTTTAATAGTGAAATTTACCAAACTTTTCTTTAATGGATTATTTTTGCTGCAAAGCTTTTCCCCCATGATCTAACTCTTATACTTAATGATGTTTGAGTTTCACACCATATCATTTCCTTTTTCTTATATCTTGTTGCTTTCATAGAGCTTCTCTGCCATACTACTATTCACTTGCTTATGCCAAGAGTCAACACATTTATGGCTTTAAAATTTCTTTTACTGGAAGGCCTCATTTCTGTACCACCCAATAGAGCTCTGCAATGATAACATTTGAAAGTTTGAAATCTGATATACCTATTTATTTAAATTAACATATATAGGTTTCTTGGCTGGGCTTTAGGAAGGCCAAAGTTGATTTTGGGTACTGCCACCGACTTTCTGGTTGACTTGAATCCTATGGGTCAGCATCTTCTCTGTCTTGACATCAGTGCTAGGAGATTTGCCTAGCAATATAATCTGTTTCTTTGGCATATTATTATTTTCTTGTTATTGTTCATATGTCTATTAAATGCCTCCCTGTGCCAGGGAGTGGAAAGTAGTGGGTGGAAAGGTTTTCAGAATTTTATCAGCAGACGCTTTCCTACTGAAATTCTTTCAAATGCTAATGTCTGATGTCAGGAAGAAAGAGATCCAGAATGTTGTGGTAACTCTTGACCCCCTTTGCTCTTTGACCTCTCTATTCTGTGGTGACCAACTGAGGACACACTAGCATCATGACTCCAAGTCTCTTGGGGAAGATCAGAACACTCAGCAGCTGTAACATGTTTAGCTATGCCTATGCATTTCTGTCTGCCTATGCAGTTATGCCTAGGCCTATGAAGTTATCAATTCATACACTGCAAGGCAGTGAGTCATAAGTTTTTGTTTTTCTTTTTTAATCCCACAGATACCCTTTGAAAGCTAAAGACACTTTTCCCAGATAGATATACATAAAAACTTGTGAACAATTCAGGGCAATAAGCCACTTGATCAGGTTTAAGTTTTCCCAGGTATACACTTCTTGGGTTTTGTCTCAGCGAATGAAGCTCTTAAAGGTCAGAATAATACAGCAACTTCCAGTAAAATAAATCTCACAATTTTTTTTCCAATTATATATCTCTCATGTATCTGTACTGGACACAATATTCTTCCTATGTCCATATCCCAACTTGGTCTTGGACATCTTTCATACTTGATTTGTTCTTGTGAAAGTCATAAGTACCTTTGATGGATCAACTAAAATGTTACTTTTCAAAAAAAGCCTTTTCTGACAATCTAAACTAGGTGGTATATCTCTCTTCTCCAAAGTTGCACCCAAGCATTTGTACCTCTCTCTTGAATCATCTATGATTTACTTGCTTATAAAAATAGTTGTCCTTCATCTATTCAACAAACCCTTACTAGGCATTGAGAACCTCAAAATAAATATAACATGGTTCTTGTCCTCCCAGATATGAAGAATCACATATACGTTTGAAAGTCTCCAGAAAATTAAAAACTCTCCCCCTAGATAAGCATACACATGCACTTAAACCAAACATTTGAATCTCAGAAGATTTGTCCACAACTAGATTGAGAACCTATGCCATGTGATTGTTTGAGTAAATACATGAACAAATAGTTATAAAGCATTATTACAAATGAAGCAGTAGCAATGTTCCCAGTGTATTTTTTAAAGAGGGGGGATCTCAGTTGATCTCTAACCTTCCATGAACCTCTGCTCTTAAATAATGGTAGGTTAGATATTTCAGACCAACCACTGAACTTTAGATAATTAAAAAATGTGGATAAAATATAAAATTTTTATTCTAAAAATCAATGTTCTAATGATAAAATGAGCTTGTAATGGATTGAAGTCAAGAGAGGTGAGAAACTCAGGGAAAAGAGCAAAACTCTGGTATTTTTGCCTCAGTCTTAGTCCATTTTGTGCTGCAGTAACAGAGTACCAAAAACTAGACAATTTAAAATGAACGGAAATTTATTGGCTCATAGTTCTAGAGCCTGGGAATTCCAAGATCAAGGGGCTGGCATCTGACCAGGACCTTCATGCTGCATCATGATGTGATAGAAGGCATCACATGATGGAAAGCCAAAGAGAGGGAGAGTGAGAGCAAGAGAGGGTCAAATTCCTCCTTTTCTAAGAAACTCACTCCCGAGATAATAAACCTACTCCTCCAATAATGGCATTAATTCCTTCATGAGAGAAGAAACCTCATTGCCTAATTATCTCTTATAGGTTCTATCCCTTAATACAATTGCATTGGGGATTAGGTTTCTAACACATGGTTTTTGGGAAACACATTCAAATAATAGCAGCTTCGGAAGTATTTACTGTTTTGGAAGGTGCCTGGGAAGGTTGAATTGTATATTCGGTGACCTTGCTCATCTAGGATAACAAGAACAATATAGAGCTTTCCAAGAATGGAGACCGTAGTGATCCACTCCCTGCTTTAGGGCTGAGACCTGAAGGACTGCTCTCTAGAAGTTAAAGTGAACCACACACAAGCTAGTCTTCACATAGAGCCATTCTTCAACTCTTCTGGGTGACCCAGAAAATTTGAAGACTTGAAAAGGTGGTCTCAGCTGTCTAAAAATCCTAAGTACCTGCTAGTTGCAAGTTAAAAACATCATTGGTGGAAGAAAATGTCATATGAGGCCCTGTATTAATTCTACAAGTGATTTAAAAACCAGGCATTAGAGGGAGATAAGCTAATATGGGTGGGTAAACACCAGAAGAAATAATACATGATGGAATTAGATCCACCAGTACCCCAGAAACTGAAAATACTGCACATAGAATGTAAGAGAACTGGTTACTGTGGTCAAAGAGATAGAAGCTAAGTTTGAAATTTTTGACAGTGAACTACAATCTACAAGAAGTGATAAAGTAGATTTGAAGAGGAACTATTAATCAGTAGAAGTTCTTGAACTAAAAAATAAAAGAACCAAAACGAACAGCTCAATAGATAGGTTTAACTGCAGATTAGACTTGGCCAAAGAAAGAATTGAAAATCAGGTCATAAGAGACTATACAGAAGGAAGCAGAGAAAGTCAAAATAATTGAACATGCTGAAGGGCAGGCAAGATACACAGAGTGAGAAGGTTGGACATACATTTAATTGGAGTTCTGGAAGGGAAGCAGAGAATGAGGCAGCAACAATATTTAAAGAGACAATGAGAGAGAGCCCTTCAATATACTGATAATATTCTATGACAATAGCAACAGCATCTTACTGAAGTCTATATTCCCTGAAATACTGCCTTTAAGTGTCTGTTGAATTTGTTAGGTGAGGAAACATTCCGATTACATTCTAATCTAGTATTGTATCTTTGAAATTATATCAAAAGTTCTTTCAAAATGTTATACTCTTTAAAATAATATCAGACAATGTGAACTACTGTCTGATGTGGATATGTGTTCAAATATTTGAATCTCTATATTTGCAGTCGTTACTTCAAAAATTAGAGCTAAATCTATAATTGACACTATAAAGTTTAAGCTCTCATTTATAAGCTTGTGATTAATTTTCGACCAAAACTCTCCCTAAACTCATATATGTTATCTATGATAATACTCTATTTGATTTCTTACAATGTAAATTTTGTAGCAGCCTTTGGCATTGAGTTAAATATTCTAACCTGATCACAGGTAATTAAAACATTAATATTTACTTGCTTTTGCCTTGTCCTCTTTAATGACATGGTATTTTGATAACTTTCTATTTAATTTGAAATAGAGAAGAAAAATGATGTTTTGTAGCTTCCCTGGGAAGCAGATTCTGAGACAAAGATTTTCATGCAGGAAGTTTATTGGGGGAGTGCCTGGATCTACATGTGGGATCATGAAGGAAGTAGGATTGGGCAGAGGGGAGATTGATCTGCAATGTAGTCACAACAGAGGCTCCAGATGATTCCACACCGAGCTCTGGAACTTAGATGGTCCTTCAGCAGTCATCTAATCCTACAGCAAAGGGGTTGAGGCTGTACACCTTCTCCCCTGCATCATTGACCAGTCATTGGATGAAGGCTGCTTCCAGATATGGGACATGGCTACTATGATCTGTTTGTATCAATATAGCACTTCTGATATCAAATGTGTGAGGTGGTTCCCACACCAACAACCAACTCTTCAACTTTCTGGATGCCACCTGGGTATCCTACCTTTAACTTCAATTCTGATCCTAACTACCTGGAGTTAGCATCAGATCTCACAAGTTAAGGGCTTAATCCCATGAGACTGCTTCTACTTCAGATGCCAATCACCTGAAACTTCCGACCAATTGGCTTCATAGCCAGGGAGTTCCCACAGCTCCGTCTTCAGGTTTGATAATTTGCTAGAACAGCTCCCAGAACTCAGGAAAGCACTTTTATTTACATTTACCAGTTTATGATAGAGGATAAAAATGAATAGTCAGATGGAGAGGTACATAGAGGAGGTCTGGAAAGTCCTGAGTGCAGGAACATTAGTCCCAGGAAGTTAGGGTGCACCACCCTACTAGCAGGTGGATGTGTTCAACAACCTGGAAGTACTCTGAACCCCATCATTTAAGGTTTTTATGTAGGCTCCATTGCATAGGCCTGACTGATTGACTCATTGGCCTTTGGCAGTTACTTTGATCTCCAGTCCCTCTCCTTTCCCTGGAGGTTGGGAGGTGAGGCTGAAAGTTCCAACCCTCCAACTATGTCTTAGTCTTTCTGGCAACCAGAGTCCATCCTGAATCTGTCTAGGGTCCTCCAGTCACCAGCCATCTCATTAGCATACAAAAAGACACTCTTAGCACTCTGGAGATTCCAAGGGTCTTAGAAGCTCTGTGTCAGGGACCAGGGACTAAGACCAAATATTATAACAAAAGATACTCCTATCATTCAGGAAGTTAGAAGGATTTTTCCGTGCCAGGAACTGGGGATGAAGACCAAATATATATTTTTTACCATATCATAATGTCACATGACCTTGGATACCTTTTTTTTTTTTTTTTTTTTTTTTTTTTACCTTACAGCAATTCCCAGAAGATACTGCTGAGAGCTGTTGGTCACTAATACTCTCTGTGGTTGGGGGGATAATTGCCTCAGTTCTGAAGGGGAGACCTTGGAGGAACATGTCCAGCATCCACTACATGTGATTACTGATAAGACTGAGCATCATGAGACATGGGCTTAAATCTTGGCTTTGCTATTAATTGGCTATGTGACCTTAGGCAAGCCATGTAACATTCTAGGAAATAATTTCCTCATCTATAAAATAAGTGGTAGTGAAGAGATCAGTTTTTCCTAAACTTTAATCATTTGCAGACTACTTTTATATTTTTTTTCATATTTTTGGTTCAACTAAACTATTGTTTACTTAACATTATTCCCGTAAATTTATACATTAAAATTTTTTTGTTTCTTTTTCTAGAACTGCATGTCAAAAATGTAATCATTTTAACTTAACATTATTTAAGGTGAAACTTTTTATATAGCCATAGTATAGCAGTAGCACTTAGCACATACAGGAAGTAGCCACAAAAATACATGGAATATAAACACATAATGTTATTTAAATCCAGCTAGATACTGTTTCCTGTGCAGTCTCTGAGCCTCAGGTCTGCTTTCTGTTTTCTAAAAAGATTAGCAAATATTGGAGAGGTACTGGAAATAGACTAATAACTGAGACTTGAACGGACATTTCCCAAAAGAAGAATAAACACTTTACTGAGAATAAACATTTTTCTTTATGTGATACAGTGATATTTAATGCTGTGTCTCCTGTGGCAGCTAAATCTAGATCATATACTCTCAGTAGGAGGTTTTTTACCTTTCAAAAAAATCCTGGATTAGGCAGTCTTTTGGGTAAAATTATATTGTTCCATGATTCACTACTTGTGTGAGAAGAGTATTGGGGAAAAGATATGAATTATAATTTTTTCAGGTCATGCATCTATTAAATTAAATGCTATCCAGAAGCTTGAGGAATTAAGTTTGTTGGCTGAGGTTCCTAATATTATGAGCATGCCATATTTGAAATGTAGCCATGATGAATAGTAAAGAGAATTCAATGCTTCAATTCTTTCAATATCCCTGGAAGAAGGAGCTTTTCATAGAAAATAGACACTCCTTCCTTGAGTAACCTAGTATAGTCCTACCCTATGTCCCAGCTTCCCCTCCTCTGAAGTGGCTGATCTGAAGTCAAATGCTCTAAGATCCCCTCTTTGTGAAATCACCAGTTTCTTAATCAGATATCTTTTTTCATGCTGACCAGGTATTAGCCCACTTATCTTGGGACATTTAGGCATTAATAGGAGGGACCTAAAACATTGTCCTTCTTGTGATCTTCCTGGAAGATATCAGACCCTGTACTGAGACGCTCAAACCTGCAGACTCACTTCTAGAATTCTATTACCTCTGCATATGTAGGTCACCATCAGGAGCAGAGTTTTGAGTCTTCTCTAGGACTTCAGCTGTATTCTAAATGTTATTGGGATTGCTATTCCTGATTCTTTTTGATGTTTATTTTTAGAATTGATACATCATATTTTTACATATTTATGGGATACATGTGATATTTTGTTACATATATAGAATGTGGAACGAGCAAGTCAGAGTAATTGGACTATCCATCACTGAGTATTTGTTGTTTCTGTATGTTGAGAACATTTCAGGTTCTCTCTTCTAGCTCTATTTAAATATACAATACATTGTTGTTAACTGTAGTCATCCCACTCTCCTATTGAACACTAGAACTTATTTTTCTAACTGTATGCTTGTACATATTAATCAACCTCTCTTTACTCTTCCTCCACATTGACTGCCACACACCCTTCCCAGCCTCTGATAATCAACAAGCTAATCTCTATTTCCATGAGATCCACTTTTTTTTTTTTTTTTTAGCTCCCACGTATGAGCGAGAACATGCAATATTTGTCTTTCTGTGCCTGGCTTGTTTCACAAAATATAATCTCTGGTTCAATCCATGTTGCTGCAAATAACATAATTTCATTCTTTTTTATGGCTGAATAGTATGCCATTGTGTATATATGCCACATTTTCTTTATCCATTCATTCCCTGATGGACATTCAAGTTGATTCCCTATCTTGGCTCTTGTGAATAAACATGGGGATGCAGGTATCTCTTTGATATATAGATTTTCTTTACTTTGGATAAATACTCAGTGGTAGAATTGCTGGATCATATGGTAGTTCTATTTTTAGTTTTTTTAGAAATCTCCATACTGTTTTCCACAGTGGCTGTACTAATTTACACTCCCACCAAATGCATATGAGTTAATTTTTCTGTGCATCCTCACTAGCATCTGATAGTTTTTGTCTTTTTAATAATATCCATTCTTCCTGGGGTAAGATATTATCTCAGTGTAGTTTTGATTTGCATTTCCCTGATGTTTAGTGATGCTGAGTAATTTTTCATATACTTGTTGACCATTTGTATGTCTTATTTTGAGGAATGTTTATTCAAACCCTTTGCCCACTTTGTAATAAAACTATTTATTTTTTTTTTGCCATTGAGTTCCTTGTATATTCTGGATATTAGTCCCTTCTTGGATGAATAGTTTGCAAATATTTCTCCTGATTAACAAGTTATCTCCTCATTCTGTTGATTGTTTCCTCTTCTGCACAGCAGCTTTTTAGTTTACTATAGTCCCATTTATCTATTTCTGGTTTTGTTGCCTGTGCTTTTGAGGTCTTAGCCATAAAATCTTTGCTTTGGGCCAATGTCCTAAAGTGTCTCCCCTAAGGTTTCTTCTAGTGGTCTTATAGTTTTGGGTCTTATGTTTAAGTCTTTAATCCATCTTGAGTTGATTTTTATACATGCTGAGAGATAGGGGTCCAT
Organism: Homo sapiens; assembly: GCF_000001405.40. NCBI lineage: Eukaryota > Metazoa > Chordata > Mammalia > Primates > Hominidae > Homo > Homo sapiens. The sequence continues at coordinate 86,098,513 of NC_000015.10, forward strand.
TTTCATTCTCCTACACATGAATTTTCAGCTTTCCCACCACCATTTGTTGAAAAGGATGTCCTTTCCCCAGTGTATGTTCTTGGTACCTTTGTCCAAAATCAGTTGGCTGCAAATATGTGGATTTATTTCTGGGTTCTTTATTCTGTTTCACTGGTCTATGTATCTGTTTTTGTACAAATACCATGCTGTTTTGGTTGCTGTAACCTTGTAATATATTTAGAAGTCAGGTAGTGTAATGCTTCCAGCTTTGTTCTTTGTGCTTAGGATTGCTTTGACTCTTCAAGCTCTTTTTTTTGGTTCTATAAAAATTTTAGATTTTTTTTAATTCTGTGAAAAATAACATTGGTATTTTGATGAGGATTGGATTGAATCTGTAGATTGCTTTGGGTAGTATGGTTGTTTTAACAATATTAATTCTTCTGATCCATGAGCATTGGATGTCTTTCCATTTTTTAGTGTCCTCCTCAATTTCCTTCATCAATGTTTTGTAGTTTTCCCTGTAGAGATGCTTCACCTCCTTGAAGCCTTGATACGCAACATATCAAAATCTATGGCACACAGCAAAAGTTGTGCTAGGAGAAAAGTTTATAGCAATAAATGCCTACTTCAAAAAAGTAGAAAATACTTCAAATAAACATTCTGATAATGCACCTGAAAGAACGAGAAAAGCAAGAGCAAAACAAACCCAGAATGAGTAGAAGGAAATAACTAATAAAAATCAGAACAGAGATAAATGAAATACTGACTAAAAAAAATTACTAAGAATACCTTACATTTATTCCCAAGTATTTTATGTTTGGTAGCTATTGTGAGATTGCTTTCTTGATGTAGTTTTTTATTGGTTATTTTGTTATTGGTGTATAAAAATGCTACCGATTTTTTGTGTTTTGGTTTTGTATCCTGTCACTTTACTGAAATTGTTTATCAGCTCGAAAAGTTTTTGGTGGAGTTTTTTGGCTTTTGTACATGTAAGATTATGGTATTTTCAAAGGACAATTTGATTTCCTGTTTTCCAATGTGGATGCCTATTTTTTTTTTTTTTTTTGAAACAGAGTCTCACTCTGTTGCCCAGGCTGGAGTGCAGTGGTGCGATCTTGGCTCACTGCAACCTCCGCCTCCCAGGTTCAAGCGATTCTCCTGCCTCAGCATCCCACATGAGGCTAATTTTTGTATTTTTAGTAGAGATAGGGTTTCACCATGTTGGTCAGGCTGGTCTTGAACTCCTGACCTCAGGTGATCTGCCTGCCTTGGCTTCCCAACATGCTGGGATTACAGGTGTGAGCCATCATGCCTGGTTCCAATTAGATGCCTTTTATTTTTTTCTCATGCCAGATTGCCTAGTACTTTCAGTACTATGTTGAATAAGGGTGGCAAAAATGGGCATCTTGTCTTGTTCAGTTCTTAGAAGAAGGGATTTCAGTTTTTCCTTTTTGGATATGATGTTAACTGTGGGTTTCTGATATATGGCTTTTATTAAGTTGAAGTGTTTCTTCTATGTTTAATTTTTTGAGAGGTTTTTTTTTTAATCATGAAGGAATGTTGAATTTTATCAAATGCTTTTTCAGCAGGTATTGGGATTGTCAGATGGCTTTTATCCTTCTTTCTAAAGATGCGATATATGACAGTTATTGAATTGTGTATGTTGAACCATTCTTGTATCCCTGGTATAAATCCCACTTGACCATGGCTTATTCTTTTTATGATGCATGTTAGATTTAGTAAGCTAGCATTTTATTTTTGTGTCTCTGTTCTTCTGGAATGTTGGCATGCAGTGTTCTTTTTCTGTTGAGTCTTTGTCAGGTTTTAGTATCAGGGTAATGCTGACCTTGTAGAATGAATTAGGGAGAATTCTCACCTCTTCAATTTTTTGGAATAGTTTGAGAAGAACTCGTGTTGTTAGTTTGGTAGAATTCAGCAGTGAAGCCATCCAGTCCTGGGTTTTTCTTTGATGGGAGAAAGAAAAACCCAGTCTCCCGTCTTTTGATGGGAGACTTTTTTTTTATTATTATTACTGATTTAATCTCATTACTCATTATTGGTCTATTCAGGTCTTCTATTTCTTCCTAGTTCAATCTTGGTAAGTTGTATGTGTCCAGGAATTTATCCCTTTTCTCTAGCTTCTTCAGTTTCTTGCTGCATAGTTCTTCATAATAGTCTCTGATGATCTTCGTATTTCTGTGGTATCAGTTGTAATAGCTTTTTTGTTGTTGTTGTTGTTTCTGATTTTGTTCATTTGGGTCTTTCCTCTTTTATTTGGTTAGTCTATCTAGCAGTTTGTCGATTTTACTTATCTTTCAAAAAATGAAATTTTCATTTTGTTGACCCTTAGTATTATTTTTTAGTCAGTATTTCATTTATCTCTGTTCTGATCTTTATTAGTCATTTCCTTCTACTCATTCTGGGTTCGTTCTGCTCTTGCTTTTCTAGTTGTTTCATGTGCATTGTTAGAATGTTTATTTGAAGTTTTTCTGCTTTTTTGATGTAGGCATTTATTGCTATAAACTTTTAGCACAACTTTTGCTGTGTGCAATAGATTTTGGTATATTGGGTTTCAATTTTCCTTTGTTTCAAGAAATTTTTTTATTTCCTCCTTAATTTCTTCCTTGAGTTAATAGTCAATCAGGATCACGTTTAATTTCTATATATTTGTACAGTTTCCAAAGTTCGTTTGTTATTGATTTTTAGTTTTATTTTATTGTAGTCCGAGAAGATACTTGATATAATTTTAATTTTATAATTGTTGAGTCTTGTTGTCGTCCTAACATTTGGTCTATCCTGGAGAATGGTTCATGTGCCAATGAGAAGAAAGTATATTCTGTAACTTGTGAATGAAATGGTCTGTAAATGTCTGTTAGTTCTAATTTGGTCTAATACGTAGCTTAAATCCAATGGTTTTTTTTTTTGTTGTTGTTAATTTTCTGTCTTGATGATCTGCCTAATGGTGAGAGTTGGGTGCTGAAGTCCCCAACTATTATTATATTAGAATCTACCTGTTCTTTTATATTTGATACTATTTGCTTTATAAATCTTTGTGCTCTGGTGTTGAGTGCAGTTATGTTTACAATTGTTATGTCCTCTTGTTCAACTAATTCCTTTATCATTGTGTAATGACATTTGTCTTTTTTTTTTTTTTTAGTTTTTGACTTATAATCTGTTTTATCTGCTATAAGTATAGCTACTGCTGTTTGCTTTTGATTCTGTTCATGTGGAATATATTTTTCTATCCCCTGACTTTCACCTATATGTTTCTTTACAGGTGAGATGAATTTCTAGTAGGCAGCATATAGTTCAGTGTTTTCTAAAAATTCATTATTTCAGTCTATATCTTTTAAATGAAAACTTAATGCATTTATATTCAAGATTGTTATTGATATGTGAGGGCTTATTCCTGTCATTTTATGAATTTACTTCTGGTTGTTTTGTATAGATGAAGAAACCTTTGTTCCTTTCTTTCTCTCACATTGTTAATCATTGTGGTTTGGTGGTTTTCTGTCGCAGTAACATTTGAATCCTTTCTCTCTCTCTCTCTTTTTTTTTTTTTTAATTGAGATGGAGTCTTGCTCTCTTGCCCAGGCTGGAGTGCAGTGGTGTGATCTCAGCTCACTGCAACCTCCGCCTCCCAGGTTCAAGCGATCCGCTCACCTCAGCCTCCTGAGTAGCTGGGACTACAGAAACGCACCAGCATGCCCAGCTTATTTTTGCATTTTTAGTAGCGATGGGGTTTTGCCACATTGGCCAGGCTGATCTCAAACTCCTGACCTCAAGTGACCCGCTCACCTCGGCCTCCCCAATTGCTGGGATTACAGGCATGAGTCACCGTACCAGGGCTCCTTTCTCTTCTTTATTTGTGTGTTTGCTCTGCCAGTGAGTTTTATACTTTCACATGTTTTCATGATGGTAGATACTGTTCTTTCATTTCCAGTTGTAGGACTCCCTTAAGCATTTCTTGCAGAGTCAGTCTAGTGGTGATACCTTTTCTCAGCTTTTGCTTGTCTTGGAAAGACTTTATTTCTCCTTCATTTATGAAGGATAACTTTGCTGTGTATAGTATTCTTGCATAATATTCCCGCCCCACCAGCACTTTTAATATATCATCTCATTTTCTCCTGGCCTGTAAGGTTTCTGTTGAGAAATTCCCTGTTAGTCTAATAGAGGTTCCCTCATAAGTGACTAGACACTTTTCTCTTGAGGTTTTTAGAATTCTCTTTTTGTTTTTGACTTTTGACAGTCTGACTAAAATGTGCTGTGGAGAAGATGTTTTTGAATTGTATCTATTTGGGGATCTCTAAGCTTTCTGTATCTGGATGTCTAAAACTCTAACTAGAGTTAGGGATTTTTCAGCCACTATTTTGTTAAATAGGTTTTCCATTTTTCTATTGTCTTTCTATTTTTCTATTGTCTTTCTATTTTAATATTGCCTTCTGGGACACTGAATATTTAAATATTTGGCCACTTTAAGGTGTCTCATATGTCATGTAGGGTTTGTTCATTCTTTTTTCTTCATTTTTATCTTTGGGTTTTTTTCCAAAGACCTGTTTTCAAGCACTGAAATTGTTTCTTCTGTTCTAGCTGTCTATTGTTGAAGTATTTTTTATTCATTTAATAAATTATTCATTTCCAGGATTTCTGTTTGGTTCTCTTTAATTATATCTATCTTTTTGGTAAATTTGTCATTTATATCCTGAATTGTTTTTGTGATATATTTGTATTGTTCATCTGTGTTCTGTAGCATAACAGGGTGAATTATAGTAAAAAATAATTTAATTGTACATTTGAAAAATCACTGAGCTTCTTTAATATCAATATGTTGAATTCTTTTTCTGGGATTTTGTAAATTTCCTTTTTATTGTAATCTGTTGCTAGAGAATTATTATCTTTTTTTGGAGGTGTCGTGTTTCCTTGCTTTTTCATGTTTCGTTTGTCCTTATGTTGATATCTGCGCATCTGGTAAAGCAGTCACTTCTCCCATTTTTTTTGGATTTGCTTTTGTAGGGGAGGGCTTTTTCCTGAAGACATACCAATGGTGTTGGTTAGCTAGGACACTTTGGCTTTGCTTCTGGGTGTGTGCAGTAGTATAGTCTCCATGTAATTTCTTCACCTGTAAACAGTGTTAGTGGTGTCTGTGATTTTCTCAGTGACTTAGGTTGCAGTTGTTAGTGGAGGCTGTGGTGAAGTTTTGCTGGGGATGAAAACACCAGACAGTCCAATCCTCAGGCCCCAGTGAAGGCAGTTGCAGGCTGAGCATGCCTTTCCTTGGTCCTCAGGGTGGCATATGCTGGCGTTGGTGTTAGCTATTCTAGGCAATTTGGTTCTTGGGTCGCCAGGTGGCTTGCTGACTTGCTCAGATGCAAGCAATGACAGCAATGGGCCAGGTGGATGGGTGGGTCCTTAGGACCCTGGACAGTGGGCATGGCATGAGTAATGGCAGTAGCCATAGCAGGACAACCCTCTAGCTCCCAAGTGGCCTGTGCTGGTATTGGCAGCAGCTGTGATGGGTGAGGAGGGCCAGTCTTGAGGCACACAGGTGGTGCATGCAGGTGGGTGCCCGCTGTGCTGGTAGCTGCAGATTGAGTGGGACTGTCCTCAATCCCATGAGAGGAGTGCTCAGGTGCCAATGGTGGTAAATGGGGCAGGGTGAACCCAAGGCTCCCAGATAACACATTTTGGTATTGGGGAGGATAAAGATGGGCCAGGTGGGTGTGTCCTCTGGCCCTCTGGTAGTGCATACAGGTGCTGGTGTGGTAGGCAGGGATGGGGTGATCCCTAGGGTCCCAGTGGAATGTTTGGGTGAGGACAGCAGTGGCTGTGTCATGGCCCTGCTGTTGGGTGGGTTGCTTTTAGTGGCAGCAGCCATAGACAGGCAGCTGGGGAGTATATGCTTTCACCCCAGTTGATGGCTGCAGGTAGGGTAGCCTGTCCTCAGGTCACTTGTAAGTGCACAGTGGCTCTGCTGCTGAGGTGGCAGGGTTGCTGCCAGTGGCTTGTGCTTTGGCCCTGGGTGCAGCAGCCAGTAGTGGCAATGGCTGTATGTGGGGGAGTCTTCTCTCAGGGCACATGAAAACGCACAGAGGTCCTACTGGGAGTGGCAGGCTTGTTGCCAATGGCTTGTGCTTTTGCCCTGGAGGCAGCAGCCAGCAGTGGTGATGGCTAAAGCTTAGGGATGCCCGTGGGGCTCCCAGAATGTGGAGATACAGGGGCTGTTGGGCCTTACAGCAGGATGCAGTCTGGTGAGGGCTGGGCTCTCAAAATAGCATCTTCCTGTAGCTTCTTAGGACTTGTGGGGGTGGTTGTGGGACCCAGTGCGAGCTCCCTCTCTGGAGTAATGCCAGTGTACGATCTCTAGGTAGCTACCTATGTTAGTTTCAGGGCCCACAATGGTCAAGGGGCTTTCCCATGGCTAGGGTTGCAGGAGTCCATGGTGAGAATGTGGACCACTGGGAGCCCCTTGCCTACCCTTCCCTGCATTGGGGAGCCTCTCCAGGATCCCAGGTGATCCTGGCTGAGAAAGATGCCTGATTTCCCTCTCCTTCCTTGCCTTAGGTATTTATTGCCACTTCTTGGTTGAATTCCAGTGTTCTTTCTTAGATGATCTATTCGAAGTGTAATAATATACTTGCTATTTTGGTTCTTCTTTGTGGAGGAGGCAAGTACCAGATGCCTCTAGTCAGCCATCTTGAAGACTCTCTCTTCCTGATTCCTTGTTGAGCTATGTTGACAGATATTTCATGCCAGTCTTTCTGCTCTTCAATCACCCAATGTTGAGACTCTGGACATCTCTTGCTGCAGTCACCTAAGCTAAGTAACCAGAGGATGACTGAATTCTATGTAAGTACCAATTTATATCAGTAGTAATAAGTAAATTAGAAAGACATATACAAATTACCTTACCTGGGGCTAGTAAAGGCACAAACTCATGTTAGCGGGGCCACCATCACTAATTTAGTTAGATCTGTGTTCTGAATATCCCTGAGGAATTTGGACCAGGAGGCTTCTTGGCCTCTATCATAAAACCAATTGATGTCAATAAATAAACAGTGATAAGATGACAACCATCAGCTAAATGGTTGAGAAGGAAGAAGGTGAGGGGAAAGAAGAGGAGAACAGCAGGAAAGAGAGGCCTTTACTCAGCCCTTTTTCTATTTTCCGGGTCACAGGGCAGGGCCAAACATCTTTGAATACAACCTCTATGTGGTTAATAGATCCCTCAGTTACAAAGCCCAGGTTTGATTACACAAATAAGTGTCTTCTATTCTCTTCTAGGCCAACCCAATCACAGTTCTTTTTGTAACTCTTTGAATCTTTTCTTGGTGTACAGACTTTGTGGTCAATTTAACAAGGTCTGTGAAACTGAGTTAGTTTTACACATGCAGTTTTATTTGGTGTGCCTTACAAGTTACATGGAATATCTGGAATTACACTAGTATTTCTAGAGTGACCTGATAACTCAGCCCTTTGTTTCTTCCAATCACATCTGAAAAATCACTTTTGTCTTTGCTTCTAAATGTTTTGCTCCCATGTGGTTATTTAATTCTGCAAATGGCACAGGGACAGAATTTTTATGACTAGTAATGTGCAAGTAAATGTGTGTTCCATCTGATGTGTGGGCAACCTCTCTGGTATGATATAACCTAGTATGCTGTTGTATTTGTCAAGTGGTTGGATATACAGATAACAGGGTAGTAAATGTGGTGCTTACATTATATGTGCTTGGTCTTTGTAAGATGTGATCCCTAGAATTCCTTTCAGGAATGCTAAATTCCCCATTACCTAGAACAAAATGCATTTGGATGTACCCACTGTACCTATGATCAAAGCAATTTTCATGCATGATATTCTGGGGGAGCATGGAGAAGGAGGGTTGATATAATGCAGAAGATTTTTAGACCTACCTTGAGTCCTAATGAGATAAAACCTCCATCTGATTTTCAGATAATACTTGTTCTTTTCACTCAATTCCAGTGGCTGTTCCAGGGCAATTTTGCCCCCAGGGGATGTTTGGCAATGTCTAGAGACAATTTTGGTTTTCATAATGGCGAGGGATGCTACTGACTAAACATCTTGCGACACTTAGCGTCCTACTCTGCTGATTGTCTTAAAATGGACAGAACACTTCCTTCATCCCCAGTCCAAAATGTCAACAGTGCCAAAGTTGAGAACCCCACTCGATTCAATCAGTCATTTATCCATTTTACTGATCTGGGCTGAAACTTAAAATGGCACAATACCAGATAGCACAGTATAATTTTGTCTAGATAATAATTTCTCTAAGAGAGATAGAGACAGAGATGCTGTACTTGCTAGTTCTTGGAGTTGCTCATAGAAAGATCAGGCTAGTGGATCTCAGGACAAACATTTTCTCTCCAGAGCCATCTCCTAACTCCCTGCTGGCAGTGTGCTGTGGAGCCCTGAGAACCAACTGGCAGTGATCAATGTTATTTGCTTTGATGTATTCCTGAGGCTGGAGGGATTGTTGAACTATATGAGTGACACACGCCTGGAGGAGAAGAGTATTATAATTCACAAAGGGGAGAAGGAGACCAATTAAAGTAGATTAAAAACAGAACATACTGTGGGAAACATTCAGGGCACAAAATCATCCAGCAAGCTGATGTATGCACACCAAGATCCATGGAAGATGAATATGGCATCCTGTGGTTTACAAGTTCATGGGCGACCACAGGACAATGTGAAACAGGAGAATTTCACAAACAACTGTGATCCTCCATGGTTTCTGTTCTGTTCTTATTTCTTCTGCAGCAGAGCTAAAGATTTTAGAACTTAATTTTCATATGTAGTGGCCAGAAATTGGCTTTAGCTTTGGAGAGAGCTGAGTTGCAATCTAGGTTCTACTGCATATAAACTATGTGCTCTTAGGCAAGTTATCTAGCTTCTTTAAACCTTAGTGTCCTCATCTATAAAATGAGGAAAATGATACCTACCTGCTGTGAAGATGAAAGGAGATGTAGTTTGTGAATATGCTTACACAGTCTTGGCATGCCCTAGGTGCTTGATGAATACTCACCCAAGTCTTTTGCTTTTGGAGCAGAAGCAATGTCAAATCTCTCCATTCTACCAAAATGTTGAGCTTTTCAGAATCACTTTCTTACAAGCTTAGGAAGCTCTTCAGAGTGCAATTCACCATCTAGAATTCATCAGTGGGGATGGGAGGATAAACATTTGTACTCACATTTAACAGTGTTCTGGGTTTTTCTGTTGTTGGGTAGGGCTCAGTGAGGCGAGAAACGGGAGGAGGAAGAATGGCAGACATGATTCAAGAGGTTCATGGATTGGAAAACAGGGATCTCTAGGAACAGACTGGCTGCTATTTTGCCCTCTCAGAGAGCTTCTCAAAGCCTGGTGCATCCATATGGGTTCCAATTTGTGTCTTGCATAGTAGTACCTCATTTTTTATAGGAAGATCAGCTCTCTTAAAATAGAGTAAGAACCAAGACAACAACCAATTCATGCATAGGGAGAGCCCAGATGGATGTCATGCTATAAAATCTGTACACCATGTGAGGAGAGCCTCATGCTACCATAATCAGGGCTGCCTTACAACCCTATTTTACATACAATTAAACCTTTTGATCTAACTTGCAAGCCAATTATCTCGCTGCAACCAGCAAATTAAAATAAGGGGAAGATACTAAAGATGCTTCTTTGACAAAAGCAAGGAATAGCAGCTCTCTTGAGGAGAGATTTAAGTTTACATACTTCACATAGAACAGGTTGAGCATAATAGTAATTTTTGCAGCAATAAACATTCATTCTCACTGAGAAAGGTGAGATGATTTTGAGTGTCTTCTGTTTAAGGGCATGGGGAATTTCTCTTCAAACTATTTATATAAATAGATAAATAGATAGATACAGCTATAGCTTTACTGCTTAAAGACATAAAGGTATAGGCTAGACTAATCATTGAGGAATAATTTAGTATGCCAGAATATAGGAGATTAGAGTGCACCCTACAAATACCTCCTGTAGTCCCAGGACATTGGTGCATCCTTAACCTAGGAAGTCAGGGGCTCAGAAGCTCACTATTAATTTCAAGTGGATACGTTTAGGTGCTCCAGTTTCTCTTCTTGTAAAATGCAAATAAATTGAGGTCAAGAGAGATGACTGGAAAATGCTCCAAGATCTATAGCTAACAAGGAGCGGGAGCATGGCCAGGCGCAGTGGCTCATGCCTATAATCCCAGCACTTTGGGAGGCCGAGACGGGCGGATCACGAGGTCAAGAGATCGAAGCCATCCTGGCCAACATGGTGAAAGCCTGTCTCTACTAAAAATACAAAAATTAGCCAGGCGTGGTGGCATGCACCTGTAGTCCCAGCTACTTGGGAGGCTGAGGCAGGAGAATCACTTGAACCCGGGAGGTGGAGGTTGCAGTGAGCCAAGATCGCGCCACTGCTCTCCAACCTGGGCAACAGAGCAAGACTCCATCTCAAACAAACAAACAATCAAACAAACAAAATCAAGGAAGGGGAGCATGTTGAAGTGAGAATATCTATCATATTTAAGGTCCTTCTCTTTTTTGATTAAACATCTCTAGCTGTAAAATGGATATTGGTTGCCTGAAAGTATAAAATGAAAGGAGTTAGTATATCTACTACAACTCCTTGGTATACTTGGTAGGTACTCATTAAATATTACTATTAATGTAAAATACAGTACTACAATAATAATAACCAGGGGTAGATCTAGGTTCTGGGGGGCCTGAAGCTTATGCAACTTTGGATCTCTCTTTAAGGAGAATAATACAAAACTACAAATACAAAATTAAGTATGAATGAGGATACTTATCTGGAATAAGAACTTTTAGAAAGCAATGATTTTTAAAAAGCTGACAAATACCACAAGCTTCACAAAATCAGAAAAATAATGTGTTTTAAAATTGACTTCCTGGCATTGCTTTATAATCCTTTTTTCTCATATCTTTTCTGGCTGAATTTTCTTTGATTGCTCTATTCATATGACATTTTATATAATACCATTTTCTATAGAGAAAATAAGGATAATTCAACCTCTTCTGTAGCATGGTTGATCAAAATTTGTTTTTTACTACTGACAATTAAAGAAAAATTTCTTTCAGCTCCACAATTTGTTTTTTGGGGTAATATCAAGTAAACATTTGGGATTATTGTCAGATTTGAGAAAACTTCTATCAAACTTCTTTTAAGAACTGTGAGTTTTGAAAGAGCATTTTATAAAGCAGATTCCAGCTCTGTCCATTGCATGCCACGTTTCTCCTCCATGACTCACATTCAGTGCTGGATGCTGAAGGCAATGTGCTCGTGATCGTGGGACCTTCCTGTTATGATGCTGGGGAGTCTGCACAGGTCGTGATGCTCCTGGAAGCCATTGCTATAATCAGATGGCTAGCAGTAACTTAGCTATCCACAAAAGTTTCTGCAAATCATACAAATAAATTCCGCTAAACCCAAGCTAAATAGATCCTCAACTCAACTCCAAAGCCACCCGAACAGGAATCTTAATTGTAGTTAAAATACCTTCCTCTTGCTAGTGGTACAAAATCATATGTCTATGTAAACACATGACTGGGACCCCGTCAGGTATTGAAAGAATCCCATGCAAGTGAGGGACTCCAAAGCTTTAGCTGCGTAAGATTTATGGTAACTCTACCTCTGGTAGTGACAAATAGCATTGAGGAGAAAATTACAGTTGACCCTTAAACAACGTTGGGGTTAGGGGCACTGACCCCTGTGCAGTAGAAAATCCATGTATAAGTTTTGGCTGCCCCAAACTTAAATTCTAGTAGCCTATTGTTGACTGGAAGCCTTACTGATAATGTAAACAGTGGATTAATACATATTTTGTATGTTATATGTATCGTATAGTGTATTCTTACAATAAAGTAAGTTAGAGAAAACAAAGTGTTATTAAAAATCATAAGAAAGAAAAATATATTTACTATTCATTAAGTGGGAGTGGATCATCTTAAGGGTCTTCATCCTCATCTTTACTTTGAGTAGGTCGAGAAGGAGAAGGAAGAGGCGGGGTTGGTCTTGCTGTCTCAGGGGTGGCAGAGGGGGAAGAAAATCCATGTATGAGTGGACCAGCACAGTTCATACCCATGCTGTCCAAGGGCCAACTCTAGTAGAATTGGGCCACCAGTTTGCTCAAGAACTAGCTGTGTGACCTAAGGTTAATCATTTTATTTTTTATGGACCTGGATTTCCCATCTTTGAAGTGAGAAGTTCAAATTAGGGGATGTGTAATGTTCCTGATACCCACAACAATGGTTGATTCGGTGAACAGTTTCTGAACGAGCCTAGCAGTGTCAGGGCAGATGGGGAAGAGCCAGAGGAAATAGTTGTTCCTGCATTAAATACCATCCCTCCCTCCCTTTCTCCTCCAGCAGAGGTTTGTTTAGTAAACAAATCCCGAGTTTTCCCAATACAGCCAAGCTATGAAAGCTCTGTGCCACCCAGTATTGCTACAATTACTAATGTGACAGGCCTATCTTTTATTCTCCCAGAAGCAAGGCATGAGGAGTGAACTGAGCTGTCTGAATGACTTACCCAGGCATTTCTCTTTTGAAAGCCATCAGGGCAGGAGGAGAATTGCCTGGAGGCAGCTGGGCTCAGGCCAATGCCCCGGTTGGTCCTGAGCGTCTCCTGTTTTTGAGGTCCCTAGAAGTCAGACTGTAAGTTTGGGAGGATTCCATGACCTTCTCTCTTTACCTCTTGGCCTTTGATTTCTCTCCTTTGATGGATGGACTGGGAATGGGAGAAAGGTGGGTAGTGACTAGTTCTGCTTGGGCAGTATGTACTTTGAATGCTGCTTTAAGGAAGTCCTGGGAATAGCCAAGATTCTGGTGTATGTGTGTCTGTTACGTAGAATAAATTCAGCTGCTAGGAGAGTGACCAGAGAGGAAATTTCTTCTTCTGAATGTTTGTATCTATTTTGGAATTTGGGTGTCAAGGTAGAGATGGGGAGAGTTTTTGGCTTTCCAAGCACAGAGGCTGACACACAGGCAAGGAACAACTGTTGTTGAAGCTGAAGCCTCATGGCTGTTTCCCTTGGCCTGCTGCTTTGGTATGAGTGGGATAGAGGTATTTGGAAAAGAAGTGACAATTTGAATTACATTTTGAAGACCCAGTAGAAGTTTCCTGGGAGAACAAGTTGGGGAAAACACTTGTGTAGTATCAAAAGGCATGCTCTTACTTGTTAACATGGAACTGCTGACAAATAGAGACCGTCCACTGATACAGGGGTCTCCAACCCCCGGGCCACAGACTGGTAGGAACAAGACCATGTTAGGAACCAGGCCACACAGCAGGAGGTGAGCAGTAGGCAAGTAAGCAAAGCTTCATCTGTATTTACAACCACTCCCTATCTCTCTCATTACTGCCTAAACTCTGCCTCCTGTCAGATCAGCAGTGGCATTAGATTCTCATAGGAGCACGAGCCCTGTCGTGAACTGCGCCTGTGAGGGGTCTACGTTGCTCTCTCCTTATGAGAATCTAATGCCTGATGATCTGTCACTGTTCCCCAACGACCCCAGATGGAGATGTCTAGTTGCAGGAAAACAAGCTCAGGGCTCCCACTGATTCTACATTATGGGGAGTTGTATAATTATTTCATTATATATTATAATATAATAATAGAAAATAAAGTACACAATAAATGTAATGTACTTCAATCAACCCACAACTACCACCCCACACCCACCCTGTCATGAAAAAATTGTCTTCCACAAAACTAGTCCCTGGTGTCAAAAAGGCTGGGGAGCTCTGCATTGATAGAAAGGCTGATAACGATGTATGGGCGTTTGTCATTCCACATCTTGTTCTTTGCATTTATCCGTTTATATGCATGTTTAAACAAAAAACGACATGCTACACATACATTTTTGTGTATTTAACACTATAACATGAATATCTTCTCACATTAATAAAAATGTCCTACAACAACATTATTATCAATGATTGAACATTGTTCCATTGTATTATGGCAATTTATTTAACGTTAGACATTTAGAGTGTTTTCAATTTTTCACGATTAGCAACAGTGATGAAGTGATGAGGATCTTCGCAAATAAGATGTTTGTCTCCATCCCTTGGGAATAACTGCAGTAAAATTGTTGGGTCAAAGGGTCTGTACATTTTAAAGGCTTTTGATTAAGTATTTCTAAATCGCCAATCCAGGAAAGATGTAGCAATTTACACTCTCTTCAGCAGTGTAGGAGAATGCCTATTTCTTCTCACCCTCACCAGGGCTGGATTTTTATCAGGCTTTTAAATCTCTTCCCATTTGAGAGGAGAAAGATGGTAATTCATTTTAATTTGCATTTCTTTGATTACTAATGTAACTGATTTTTTTTTTAAAATAAGCCTATTAGCTATTTGAATTTCTACTTTTGTAAATTGCCTGTTTATTTCTTTTGGGTAAGGGAAAGTTTTACTTTAGGAAAATTCCCCTTAAAACACTAGGGTCAGATTTTTAAAAGCATTGTCTTTTGTTCTCACTCTTCAAAAACATGCCTTCCACTGGAAAAATGAAGAAATGATCTAAAAGGAGGAATGGTTTCTCTGTTAGTAAATGGTGAGTCTATCAGCAATGGGACTGGGGCAGATTTTAGCTTTCCTGCTTCAGCTCCTAGCTGTTACCTCAGAGTTGGCTCTCAGCCTTCTTAGTTTCTGTTCAGTACCGTTCACCTCTTTATTTTTTCTTTTTCTTTTTCTTTTCTTTTCTTTTCTTTTCTTTTCTTTTCTTTTCTTTTCTTTCTTTCTTTCTTTCTTTTTCTTTCTTTCTTTTTTTTTTTTTTTTTGGAGACTGAGTCTTACTCTGTTGCCCAGGCTGGAGTGCAGTGGCACGATCTTGGCTCACTGCAACCTCTGCCTCCTGGGTTCAAGCAATTCTCCTGCCTCAGCCTCCCGAGTAGCTAGGATTACAGGTGCCCACCACCATGCCCGGCTCTTTTGTATTTTTAGTAGAGATGGGGTTTCACCATGTTGGCCAGGCTGGTCTCGAACTCCTGACTTCAGGTGGTCCACCTGCCTTGGCCTCCCAAAGTGCTGGGATTACAGGTGTGAGCCACTGCACCCGGCCCACCTTTCACCTCTTTCACCTGCCTTTCAGTCGAGCTATTTGAGTAGCTGCATTACCATTCCCCATCCTAGGTTTTAAGCTTCTAAAAGGCAAGGAAAGTTTCTTCTTTTTCTATAATGCCATGCCACACCTAACATAGTCACTTGTCCATCACAGGTGCTCACTATGCGAAGTGAACAAATAGGGAATGCCACTTCCCAATAGTACCGTTTTACTACTAGGCAAGTTTGAGCTTTCTAGCCCTTCCTCAAACTTGCTAGGTAGTCTAAGAAAAATGACCCAAATTTACAGTGCTTATTCTCCATGCCCCAAAGGAAAGATTGGTAATATTTGCTTATAAGATGCTGTGTGTTATATTGGTTCTTTGAAAATACTGATAATTACTGTGGAGCTAAAAAACAATTAAGAGCATTCTACACATAAGTCATTAACTACACTTGAAATAAAATATGTGAGTTACCAGTGACATTTCAAAGACTATATTTGTTAATAACTGAGGCTTAACAAATAGAAATTATTTATAAACTTGTCTGAAATGGAAATCCAATAGCTGTTTCTAGTCTTGTTGAACAATCCAATTAAGGGACTCTTTATATATAACATGTTTGCCATTTTCCCATTTGAAATATTAAGATGATGTTATATTTAAAATCTGCAACTGGCTATTTGATAGTGGCTCTGTGTCTTCAGCCTTGGACCCTTGGGGGAGGTGAGTCTGCACTCTGCCTTGGCAAGGAGTCCAGAAGGAAGAACTCAGAGGTGTCACTTCCAACTGAACTTGTGGGAGGTGGCCTGCGTCTTCTACTCTGGTCTGCTTGTGTGTGCCTGTCTGCAGAAGACATTCTCTGTTGCAGATCTAGTGGGACTCCTAGAGCGCCCTGCATTTGTGAAAAACAATAGGAACTTAGCTCCTTATGGCCCAAATGCTGACTCAATATCAATATGATGTAGATATTGTACTTCCATGATGGGAGTCCCTTTCCAAGATTTTAACCTCTAAAACAAAAAGAAGTTTGGGAGATTCCAGGAAGGGTCTTTTTTTCACCGATGTCACAATTCCATGCATATGAATCCTGTTGAAGTTGTAGGCCTTGCTGGCTTAAGGGTTCCACATAGCAGAATGTGGCCGATAAAACAACTGTATGCTAGCTGAGCTTGGTGCAAATGACAACCCACACCATGCTTGCCCACTTCAGAACTGTTTGCATGCATGGGACAATTCGTATCCTATAACGAGATGCTGAGGTCCAACGCTACAAGTCTGTTTCTCAGTGAATTCACTTGGAGCCTCGTTCTGATGAGATTCACTGTCAGAGTAGCCTGAGCTGTCAGTGAATTTGACTCTTTTGTTAGAATGTCTTTATTGAACTTCATGATAGGCTCTCATGTGAAAAGGGCTGAAAAAATTGTGGCTGCTAGTGGTGCTAACTGTTCACCACTGGGTTATGGATAAACACTGCCTGGCACCTCAAGTAAGGAAGACCTGAGGTAATATCTTGACTGCTAAAAAATAGCTACTGGGATCTCAAAATGACACAATGAGACCACTTTTGTTTTCCTAAAAATATCCCTCTTGAAGGATGTTTGAGCCATCTAGGTAGCATTGTGACATCCATCTTGCTTCCAGTCCCATGATGCAGGGGAGTACCATAAAGTCACAGTGGTGGATTGTGACTGTGAAGATGAAATTTTGACAGCAACATCCACTTTATTCTAGTCTAGACCTGCCTGGTAAAAAGCAGTACCACTAGGTTGTGCTAGAGTATAAACATAGCACGATGTGCATTTCCTGGCAAATCTTTACTTTATTGGCTATTTCTTTCTTTCTTTTTCTTAAGAAAAAAAATTATCTGTTCTCTGTAACTTAGAAGAACATATCAGAAATATCATTGTGATCACTGTTGTTTGAAAAGAAGGGCCTTTGAATGACAATATTGTGATTTTTGTAAAGGCCGGAGGTAGTGAAATGCTCAGAATTATTTATACTTACTCCCAGATACCGCTTAGTCACCTTCCAACATCTGGTGCTCTGGGATGAGGACTACTGCTCCTCTTCAGTCTTCTCATTGGTGCCTCATTTTCTGTCTGACTTGTCAGCACTGGAAAGCTCAAGGCTATCTCTCGGGTTCTCTTTCTTCTCTTCTCTGTGTACTTTCCTAGGGCATCTTCCTCAGTCACATACCATGTGTATGTTAAGGGCAATGATGCCCCAGCTATATCTCTGGTCCTGACTTTTCCATGAAACTCCAGACTCATCTCTCCAGGATGACCAAACATTTCAGCCTTCTGGGACAGCTCTGCTTTATACCTACTCTCCTGTTATAATTATTAGTAGGGCTCATTTCTCTCTCAGAAGATTTCAGTCATGTCATCCTATACATGAGGTTGGTATTTAAGTCAGATCATGTCACTTTTCCAACTAAAATTCTCTTATAGGAAGGAAAGTAAATAATTGAGAACAATAATAAAATTGACTGTATCACTAAAATAGGCAGGGAACCTAGAATTTATTGAGTGCCATTGTGCTATGTTATTTGCATTTGTTCTCTCATTTAATTTAAAATTCATCTCAACTCTGTTTTGTGAGTATTGCTCTAGGTGATTTCAGCTACAGCAAAACACAACCAACCAACCAATCGAGAACAAAAATGTAAGGCTCAGAAAGATTAAAATAACTTGCTTAGGATTACACAGCCAGTAAAGTATTAGAGCTGGGTTTGAATCTTAGTTCTCTCTAGTGCTAAAGCTGAAGGATTATGTGTTTGTTTTTTTCCAATTACTTTGTTGATGTGATGGCTAATGTGTCAGCTTGAGTGGGCTAAGGGATGCCCAGGTAGCTGGTAAAGCATTATTTCTGGCAGGGTGTTTCTGGGAGAGATGAGCATTGGTTCAGTAGGCTGAGTAGAGAAGATCCACTTTCATCATTGTGGGTGGGCATAGTCTAATCTGTTGTGGGCCCGAATACAACACAAAGACAGAGGAATGATGAACTTACTCTCTCTTCTTGAGCTGGGACATTGGACACTTACTCTCTCTTCTTGACCATCTCTTGGTTCTCTGGCCTTCACACTATGGGACTTACACAAGCAGAGCAACCCCTACCCCTGATACCTCAGGTCTTCACACTCAACTAGGAGTTACACAGTCAGCTTCCCTGGTTCTTAGAACTTTGGACTTAGACTGAATTCTATTGGGTTCTCTAGGTTGCAGATGACAGGTCATGGGACTTCTCACCTCCATAATTACATGAGCCAATTATCACAATAAATCTCTCTCACTGGTTCTGATTCTCAAGACAACCCTAATACAGTTGGTAACCAAGCATCTTTCTTCATCTGGCCTCAGAAACACCTTTCTTTTCTTTTCTTTTTTTTTTTTTTTAACATGTTTTCGTGTTACTTAGGCCAGTTGCTTAGTGATCTATCAATGGTCATCATCAAAGTCTTGTTGAAGAGTTTTCCTGTGTGATTGTATTCATTAGAATTAGATTTGGCTATGGCTCATGGGAACTAAAATCACTATTTTATTCCTTTTTACATAAAGAAATCTGGAGGTGAGTGTTCTGGGGGTCCACACTCATGGCTCTGGTTTCCCTCCATCCTGATGTGATGCATGATTACCTGCCTTGAGAACACCCCGGGCTCTGGGATGGCTGCTGGGAATCCCCGCTAAAATTGGTCTGTTACTAAGGAAAATGGGGAGAAACCGGCAGTCTGCTCTCCTGACCAACTTTTTTTTCCCTTTATTTCTCAGTATTTGAGAATTTGTTTTTCAGAAGAAGTCTGAGTGTGTAAGGAATAAAGCCTAAAATGAGGTCTATTTGGCATCTGATTGACCTACCTGTAATTTCCAATTTTCCCTGTGTGACTATTGTGTTGAGCAAGTTTTGTAACTTCTATGACCTAGATACTTTACACAATTATCTCATTTAATTCTCACTAAAGACTCCAAAGTAAGAATTATCTCTATTTCACAGATGAGGAAACCAAGGCTCAGAATGTGTTTTTAGTGCATATCAAGCAATGTATAATGTGCAATGATTAACACTTCACGTGTGCACAAGAGGTATTCAAAACTCTTCTTGACCTGTTTTAATCAAAAGTTTCCCTCCTGATCATCAAATGGGACACGTCATCCTTCATATTTTTTCTTTTTCTGGGTTTTCACAGAAAAAGTAACAACAACAACTAAGCTTAATGTAATTAGAGATGATAGAAGAACATCATGGTTTTAACAAATTCACATGCCTGAAATCCAACCCCAGGACCTGTGATTTGGTGATTTGGATTGGTGCGGGAATCTGTAGTTTAGAAAGGTTATGTGTAACTCCATTAGTGAGCTTCTGGCACAAGAAGAATAACTGTCAAGACTTGCTCTGCGGATCTTAGTTTGGTATCTTCTTGATTTGAAAAGTCTCTGCTTATTCCAGTGTTTGTGCTGTCACATTAAACTGCTATCTCTGAATTTCTTGTTACACTGACATTGTTACCGTTCTCCTGGGTGTCAATATAATGTTTCTACTCAGAAAATCTCTCTTTCAAGAGATGGCCCTCACCTTTTCCCAGGTGGACTCAGTTCCATTTTTAAAGGTGCTGCCAAGGGCTTTAAAAGCAAACTCTCATTTGAGGTGCTGGGGAGCCCTAGTTCATCTTGTCTTTCTCCCTTTGCTTCTCTCTGGAGTAAAGGCTGGCAGAGGAGAATGAGAATAAAATTATTAAAAGTCCAAATTGGCAGGTAGGATTTCAAAGAACAAAATTAATTGTATTCAAGACACGTCTCCCCTCTGTTTATGCTCACAAAATGCTGTCTTTGCAAGAACTCTGCAGCACCACGTACACTGTTGGCCCTCTGCGAATCAGCACCAATGACAACATTATAATTACACTTCAAAAAAAAAAAAGGCAATGAGAAGTTGCATCTTAAATTTCCTTTATTTGGTTGCTCTAGGAGCTTCTGTTTGAGTACAGCATTGGAGAGCAGGTGCAGAGGTTAAAAATATGCTCATAAAAATCTAGAACCCAGTGTCTTTTTGTTACATTCATAATAAATAAGAATGCTTTCCTGGAGGCTCAGCCATTAAGGGAGGTGATGGGGCAGGAAATAGGAGTTCTTCTCTTGGATTCTGTTTATAATGCAGTCAAACAAGGGTAAGGAGGCTTAGCTAAAGCTTTTTTTGGGTGGGGTGGGGTGGTGGGACTAGCAGGCAAATTTGTACTAATAATTAACCATGAGCCTGTCAATTTCTCGTCTATTGTGCGAAAAAGTGTCTCTTGGCATAAGCATAATAATAGCAACTCCCATTTATGTAGCATCCACTGCTTACCAGACAGGGTACCAGGAACTTTACAGACATGATTTCAAGCTGCCACAGCAAAATTGTGGGTGAGTATTATGTAATACTCTGAGAGTCTCTGAGAGGGCACACAAGGGGTGCATAGCTAGTAAGTGTCAATACCAACATTTAAACCCACAGGGTCCAAAGTGCTTGCTCCTTTCTCTAGATTATTGGCTTGATTAGGACTCATTTGGTTGCAAGTAACTAAAGCCTACTTCTGAATTTCAACCAACTCAACTTAAACCACACTCTGGGTTTAGTAAAGCTAATATAATTCAATTTCAGTTTACATATAAAAGAGAATTTATCACAGAGATGCAAAGGTTTCTCATCAGACACTAAAGTGAGTCTGTGTCTCCTGAGTGAACTGGAACCAGTGCTTAAGTGTAGGTAGGACTCCTGCAGATTTTTGTCTTTGCTTTTTTTTTTTGGCACACCTCAGTTCACTTTTCCTTCTTGCTACTGATGGGCTTCTTCTGGCTCCTCTCTCAACTATCCCCACATCCTGCAAATACTGCCAACGGTTGCTGAGTTCAGCAGGACACAGTCAAGGCACCTGAAGAGACACCAGATTCAATAGTCGTGATAAGTGGACTGATTGGCCCAGCTTAAATGATCTGCCCCCCCGGACCCATCAACTGGGGCCAGTGGGGAGGTTAAAACTATAGGAACATGATGGACCCCACAATGGCTAGGTGGTATAAAAATGGAAGAGCATATCTCAGAAAAGTAGTTTGTGTGTGTGTGTGTGTGTGTGTGTGTGTGTGTATGTATTTGCACGTTTGTCTGTATGTGGAAACTAGTAGATAAAAGTTGTCCAGTATGACTGTGCAGACTGCAAGTATCTCCTGGTTGTGGGGTCCTAGTAGCTGCATAGTTTGCCACACATCACTTTTAATTCTATCCTTGTGGATGGCTCCCCACAAGGGACAAAAGTAGAAAGATTCGAGTGGTGCCTGAAGAAAGCCAAGGAAGAAAAGAATTTGTCCATAATCTGTTCTTAGCATCAAATCTAAATGTCTGTTAACTATTTACAAACTAACTCGATTTCCATTCATTCATGTACACATTATTCATTCATTCTCGCACTCATTCATCTACTCATTCATTCAAGTACTCATTATTCATTCGATATACTGAACACAAGAAACAAAGCCTCAAATATAGAGGCTGCCATTGCCTATAGGATAAAATCTAAACTCCCCATTAAAATCTAAACTCCCCATCCTGCCTTCCCAGGTCATCTTTTGCTTTCTCCTGCATGTACTTGGGGCTGTAAGATATGTTGCAATGTTCTTTTGCCTTTTTTACTTGATAGATGAACACCTATTGGCTTTAAGGCAAAGTTCCAGTATTCTCTCCCCAGCCTTGTCTTTGCAACACTCTCCTTGCTCTTAATGCAAAGCTAAGTCACTCCTAATGTTCCCATAGTACTCAGTGAGCCTGTCTCCAGGATGCCCATTAACCTACAGTGTACTTGTCTGTCAGTGAAAAGATGGTGTCCCCTCCTGGAGACACTTTGTCAAATGCTAAAAAATTGTATTAAGCATGCAAATCAATACTGATTGTGATGGTAGATGTGCCCTCTTAGACCTGGCCCCATGGAGAAGAGCACAAGGTGCATGGGTAGATGCAGTGGCTGTGAACCACCTCCACTGCACAACAGCCTGCGCTTTTCTGTTTGTGTGTCTGTCTCCACCATTGTGCCACTGGCACAAATTGTTTCTCACTAATTGTGGATCCCTAGTGACTAGCAGAACTCTTGGCACATTTTTGGTTCTCAATAAAGGTATTTTGGTTCAATGCAAAAATGAGTAAAATATAAGACAAGAGTATTAATTTCTCTAGAAATACCCCTTTGGCATAATAAATGTGTTTCTGGTTTCTGCCCCAAGGATAAAAGAAACTTTTGGGCTCATGTATTTCCTACTGCCTACTTCCCTCTCCTTTTCCCTTTAAGTTCTTGTTTGCTTTTATGGATTTTTTTTTTTTTTAAGATGGAGTCCCGCTCTGTTGCCTAGGCTGGAGTGCAGTGGCATGATCTCAACTCACTGCAACCTCTGCCTCCTAGGTTCAAGTGATTCTCCTGCCTCAACCTCCTGAGTAGCTTGGACTACAGGCATGTGCCACCATGCCTGCCTAATTTTTATATTTTTTAGTAGAGACAGGATTTCGCCATGTTGGCCAGGCTGGTCTCGAACTCCTGACCTCAGGTGATCTGCCCGCCTCAATCTCCCAAAGTTCTGGGATTACAGGTGTGAACCGCTGTGCCTGGCCCACTTTTATCATTTTTTATTATAGAAAGGGTCTATGGTCATTTTAGAACAATTGAAAATTGAATAAGCAAAAATAATTTGTCATTTTACTATTAAGAATAACAACTATTAATATCTACTTTCCCAGATATTTTTCTGTGCCAAAAATATACACCAATGTGGGTTATTTTTAAAATGAATTTAATCATCCCCTTTAAATAGAGATTAGGCAAATATGTAAATGTAAAAATCACAAAGAAATAGGTCTAAGAGGGACCTTATTTAAGATTAGAGTTTCAAACAGTGGTGCTTGCTACTTTGGGAGATGCTAAGTTCCTTGTCCCTGGATGTATTTTAAAAACCAAAAAGATTAGAAACTTCTTCATTTGCAAGTTGTAGGGGTGATTCATGTACTCGACAATAGTCATATTAAAGAACTGAAGTCTGAGTTTCTGATTCATTTGGAGAATCCTCATGGATTCTAAGAGGAACCCACGTTTCTAAAAGTGTCTGCTGTGTTGAGAGCCAGAAGGCCTAGCATTCTGTAGCCCTGTCTCAACCAGCATAATCCTGAAAGGCAGCCTCTCAGAGGTTAATCTTTGAACACACTCTTAGGTTTACTTAGGCTTTTCAGGTTGACAGATGAATTTTCGTTCCACAGTGTGGTATAGTTCAGTGTTGCCTAATGTAGTCATTGTGCAATTAGCATTAAATTAGTTATAAGATAAAATGAAACAAATTTGGCTTTTTGAAAAGGAGGACTTTCATACAAGGCCAAACTTAAGGGAAAGAAAGCCAGAGAACATTTCAACTCAGAAAGCAATTTGCTTTGCACAAGGAAGTCGGAAAATTACAGCCCATCATACCTAATTACTACACACATTTGCGTTTGAATGTGCGCTCTCCCTCCAAGGAACTGTCTCCAAGTTTCTTCCCCTTCACCTCTCAGCAGCCAGAATCTACTGCTGATGGAAAATAGTCATTGGAGCAACAGGATATTGTCCATTTCCCGACATGGTCACAGGAGGTTCTGACAGATTGAGTGTTGTACAGGGTCCTGTTGCAAACGGAGTAATGGGCATATGTGATCATGGAAAATAGGAAGGAGGAGAATGTAGATATTCCCGTGAAAGCTGATGGAATGAAATGTGATTCTCCTTCAAACTTCAAGGATTTAAAGAATATGTATAGATACTGCCCCTCCAAGAGATAGTGCTTAATTCTACTCCTTCTTCTCAAGTGTGGGCTAGACATAGTGACTGGCTTCCAAGAAACAGTATGGAAAGCAAAAATAATGTCACAGTGCAGAAACATGGCATGCATCACTTAAGTGATAAACCAAGTGAAGACATCATCAGCTACATCATGTGTTTATCACTGACCCTGGATATATAACAGAAAGGACCTCTGAAGATCCATAATCCTCATCTAATTAAAAAAAATCAGACTAACCCAACTGGGGGCCATTCTACAGGTTACGTTTTCACTACTCCTCAATACTGTCAAGGTTGTGAAAAAAAGGTGTAAACCAAAAGTGAAATTTTAAGCCCCTTAACCAACTGAGTGGACCCTTCCTCTTGGCCAAGAGCCTTCCAAAGTTAATCTGAAAGACTAGTTCAGGCCATGATGGGAAGTGGGAGTTGAACATGTCTCATTATACCCTCCTCCCTTTGGAATTCAGGCACAGCTGACCAGCATTAACATTAAAACAGAGCTCTTAAGACTGACAAAGCAGACTTTTCATAGCAATAAGACACCAAATTCCAGCCTGACTCTAGTATAGCATCACATAACAGATAGCAGGCCCTGAAAGAAATCAAAGTATTTTACCCCAAAATATATGTATTTGACATATCTTGAAATGGTCCAGCAAAGCTGTCGGTTGTGGGGAAAATCTGCATTCTATAGAGAATCTCTATTCCTTTCTAGATCTTTTCCCTGCTCCAGGAGAGAATTAACTAAGAGTCGGGCACCTTATTAGCTCTGATAAGAGATCTGAAGCCTGCTGCATAGAGGTTTTGTCTGCATGAGAAAACCCTGGTCTCCAGAACCCCTTTGTCTTTTTTTTGTTGTTGTCGTTTTGAGACAGAGTCTTGCTCTGTTGCCCACACTGGAGTGCAGTGGCACAATCTCAGCTCACTGCAACCTCTGCCTCCCAGGTTCAAGCAATTCTCCTGCCTCAGCCTCCTGAGTAGCTGGGATTACAGGTGCTTGCCACCATGCCCAGCTAATTTTTGTGTTTTTAGTAGATATGGGGTTTTACCATGTTGGCCAGGCTGCTCTTGAACTCCTGACCTGAGGTGATCCGCCTGCCTCGGCCTCTCAAAATGCTGGGATTATAGGCGTGAGATACCACGCCCACCCCGGGACCCCTTTGTCTTAACTAAGTCATTCCTTTCTATTGATCCCGGGCTTTTAGATAATAACTCTTCCAATAAATTGCCAATCAAAAAATGTTTGAATCCGCCTATGACCTGGAAGCCCCTGCTTCTAGTTGTCTCACCTTTCTGGACCAAACCAATGTATATCTTACATGTATTGATTGATGTCTTATGTCTCCCTAAAGGGTATAAAACCAAGCTGTAGCCTGACCACCTTGAGCACATGTTCTCAGGATCTCCTGGGGCTATGTCATGGGCCACTGTTCACTTGTATTTGGTTCAGAGTAAATCCCTTCAAATATTTTGCAGTGTTTGACTCTTTTTTATCCACAAAGGAAGACTGAGAAACCGCCACAGACCAGAGGAGACTCGGGAGAGATGACAACCATATGCAACATGGTAACTGGGTGGGATATTGGAATGGAACGAGGACATTAGTGAACCTGGTGAAATCTAGTAAAGTCCAGAGTTTAGTTAACGATAATGTACCAGGCGGGGTGCAGTGGCTCACACTTAGAATCCTAGCACTTTGGGAGGCCGAGGCAGGCAGATCACTTGAGGCCAGGAGTTCAAGACCAGCCTGGCCAACATGGTGCAATCCCATCTCTACTGAAAATACAAAATGTAGCGGGGCATGGTGGCAGGTGCCTGTAGTCCCAGCTACTCAGGAGGCTGAGGCAGGAGAATTGCTTGAACCCAGGAGGCAGAGGTTGCAGTGAGCTGAGATTGCACCACTGCACTACAGCCTGGGCACCAGAGTGAGACTCTGTCTCAAAAAAAAAAAAAAAAAACAAAGAAAACCCCCAAAAATCCCAAAAAACAAAATACCAAAAAAATCAATAATGTACCAATGTCAGTTTTTTAGTTTTGACAAATGTATCATGCTATTATAAGATGTTGACAATAACACAACAGGTTATAAAGAAACTCTTTGTGCTACCTTTGTAACTTTTCCTTCAATCTAAAATTATTCTAAATTAAAAAGTTTATTAAAAATATTTTAAAGATTTTTTCTCTCCACGCAGATTTCTCTTCTGTTTCCTTAAGGGACTTGGTTCATGCCTCTGATACTGACCCATCAGGTGGTTTTAAGCAAATCAGCATGTTCCTCACAAAGAGAGTCTACATTTTTGATTGTTGGCTCAAACACCAGATTTTGGATGTAATTCTTAAGAGTAAATGGTTAGAGTAGCCATTCATTATCAACTGCTTGACAATTCACCATAGAGTCTGACAAACAGAAGAAGGTTGTAATGCTTAACCTAATTATGTAATTATGTATACAGTCGCTCGCAACAGTCTATATAATGGCAGGGCACAATTATAATTACTCTCAGTAAATGGGCATAAAGCTGATTGATGTTAGAATGGTAGACTTTATTTTGGGGAGGAATTAATAAAAAGGGGTTTTAGAATTAAGTTGTTCAAATATCTCTCCAAGTGCAATAATGGCTTTGCAGCATCTCTGATTCATGAGGGGCTCTCTGCTTGTGCTTGTCTAGCCAACCCACATCCACTTTGTGAGAGTAAAGAACTTTGGTTTTCAGTCATGGTGAATGTGTGCTTACTTTACATGATTGGTTGACTTCCTTGAAGAAAATGGGAGCCAAAACTTAAGACAGAGTCAGAAATAATCAATAAGGTTTTTGAAAGAGGTTTCCACCCTGTGATAGCCATGGTTAACCAAGATAACTGTTGCCTCTATTTGGAAAGACCCTCCACTTCCTCACTGTCCATCACTATTAATCTTATTTCCATGATGAAGCCTTTCGTGACTAGACTTTCCCTTTCTCTCATACCTCTCTCTCAACTTCCGTTAACCATTCTCATTCACTGAATTCAGTTTGCACTTGATCACGGTAACTTGTCAATATTTCTGTGTCCTTTTTGGCTTGTTTTGCAGCTGCGTTGAGAACTCCCATTCTGCTGGCATCCTCTGAGTCCCCTTCATCCATGGCTAAATGTATTGATGAACATCTAATAGTCTTAATAAACAATTGATTAATGGATATATAGAAGGACAGACAATGGACATTCTGTCAAGTGACTGCTTATGAGGGAAGCCACAACTCTCTATGACTGTATGTCCTGGTGACTTTCAATCAATAATTTAAAACTCATCCCTCTTCAACCTAGGCAGGGATCTCTGCATATTAGTGTCCCAGCCATGTGTCCCAGATTCATGGAAAGGATCAAAGTCAAAAACAACTTCTATCATCATGACATTTACTTGATAATTCAACATAAAGTGGAATTCCGGAAAACAGGCATGAAACAAATTTGTATTCCTTAAGTGGGAGCATTGAACTAAGAGATCATTGAATATCTCCTTAGTTTTTGGAATTCAGCCCTGGCAATTAGAGAAGAGAAGCCTGATGTCCTCTTTATGGGTTATGTGATCCTACACAGCTGCAGATGCTTTTATGACCTATGAAAATTGTGACTCAACTGGCTAATTGCCAAACATTCATGGCTTTTAATAGACTATTTTCTTCTCGGTGTCCTGTTGTAATCTTTGATCGTTGAAGACTTGATCCATAGTGGAACTACCACCTTCATCCTTGGAAGCTATTTTTTTTCTATTATCTTTCCCATTTATTTACCCTCTTAACTAATTAATTTTATAACCACGCCTGCTGACATTGATTTTCTGGAATCCTCTGTTTTTGGGGTGTGAACTATAAGAAAGATGAAATGTCATCAGTTTCTATTCAGCCTTATTTTCACATAAAAACAGTTTACTCTTACCTGCTTCCTCTACTTCATGAAATATAATCTGGTAAAGACTGAAGAACCTGGTATAAAATTATTGACAACCAAGAATCCATCTGAAGCAGGTGCAGTGTCCTTGGCAGAATTCTAGGGTGACATCTGTGGGTCTTTGTTGCTCCAGGATGGAATGTTTATATTTCCAAAGAGATATACAGAATATTCATAAATAGATGGTAGAGTCTATATGAATTGAACAGTGCTTCAAGCACAAGATCCTGTTGATGAGAAATGAGACCTCTCTAGGAGAATGTTTTATGACATTATCCATATACTCTTATCCATACTTATTACCTAGTGATGATAAAATTTTGAATATATTCTTTCACTGAAGAAGGGGTTAGTGGGATTTATAATAGAGATACAGATAAAAAATACATTTGATTCTTTGGAAATGAAGACCTAGGGCATAGGGAAAGATAAATAGGATGCCTAATTTTCTTCCAAACTGCTTCCTGTTTAGTTGTTGCGCTGTGGTTATAATTGATACACCAAATCTTGCAACAAATTTTCATTGCAGCTGGCCACATAGCACTGAGATTCCTGGATATATTTGGTGGGAAACATTCTGCTTTGAAGATGAGATTTGCTGGGATGAAAATCACAGTTGAAGTCCTTTAGAGGTGCTTGTGTGGACCAGCTGGTCCAATGAGCTCATGATATGGCTTAAATACTTCTGAGATGTGCCTCATGAGATGAGGAGGCTACACTATACAGACAGGATGGGTAATCTCTCTTCATAGAAACTTAAAGCTGTAGTCCCCAGTAATCTGGCCTTCAAACAAGGGGGAAAACTACAGGAATACTTACTCTCTGATCCTTGGTATGTTTGACCTTAGCTGTTGATGATTATGTTTATGAAGTAATTCACTCAGAAGTATAAGGGCTTTGTGTTTTCAACCGTGGACATAGGTTGTATGATTTACTGACTCTTCTTGTTATTGTTTGAGTTTTCTTTTCATATATAACATTGTGTTTATTATTGAGATTAAAGGTTTGGCTCATCCCAAAAAGTGTAATCAATATCAGAGTCAATCTTTTATAAATGACGTGGGTCCTCCTATAGAAATAAGAACTTGGAAAATTGCCTTCTGTTGCAGGATAGGAAATCCAGTGTCTGTGGATCTTGATTACTTTGGCCTATAGTGTGGTGAGTATGGACACAATGGAAGGTGATCCCAGGTAGCAAGGGAAAGATGGCATCCACCAAAAGCAGGCCACGTGGCCGAGGGCACGTGGGAAATCATACCTCTTGGGAAACCCTAAGTGGAAAAGGAGAAAATTCTATTATGGCGGAGCCAAGCTATCTATCTTCCAGAGCCATTTCTTCTTCTTCTTTTAACACAACAGCTGGGCTACAAGTTCCATCCTCCCTTGCAGTTATGTGTGAACATGTGACTGAGTTTTGATAAATGAGATGGGGTTGGAAATGACATGTGCCACTTTCAGACCTGTCACATAAAACCCTCCTGTGAGAGGTCCTCTGTATTTTTTTTCAGTTAGCTTAAGGCAGATGAACATGTTGATCTTGGAGGGTACATGAGAAAAGGAAAGCCACAAGAGAGGAGTAACTGGGTTATTGAATAACCACTTAGAGAAGCCCTGCCCATCAATTAAGAATATCTCTTTAGGACCTTCTATGAATTTTTAAAAACCCTCTTTTTTGATTGGGCCATTCATATGTTTTTTTGGGGGGTGGTTGTTTTAGTGGGTAACATTATCTTAACTCACCTGTATACCTTACAAACTTGTCTATTTACCAATTAGTCTCATGTTGTATTAGTCTGTTCTCATGCTGCTAATAAAGACATACTTGAGACTGGGTAATTTATAAAGGAAAGAGGATTAATGGACTCACAGTTCCACATGGCTGGGGAGTCTTCACACTCATGGCAGAAGGCAAAGGAGAAGGAAAGGCGGCAGGCAAGAGAGCTTGTGCAGGGGAACTCCCATTTATCAAGGCATCAGATCTCACGAGAGTTATTCACTACCACAAGAACAGTATGGGGGAAACCACCCCCATGATTCAATGATCTCCACCTGGCCCTGCCCTTGACAGGTGGGGATTACTACAATTCAAGGTGAGATTTGGGTGGGGACACAGCCAAACCACATTACATGTCATGGTAAAACTTGGAATTCTGGAGATATGTGCAAAGTTTATGTCTTGGTTCTAACTTACCGTATGAGCAACTTGGGAGGAAGCTGGATCACCAGGCGCAGAGAATCAGTCCCTGAGATACAGGCGCCCCACCTCGCATGGTGACACCTCGTTCCTTCCACCCCAGTTCAACCTTACAGTGTTTGCGCGTTATTTTATTAATGGAGGCAAGAAGTTTGTATGTAAGTTATGCTAACTTACCTATGTTCCCTTTCTTTATCTCTTTTTCTTTGGCCAAATGAACTCATTTACTAGATCTGGGGAATTAATCTGTACTTATGTAGCAGAATGAAGGGAACTGGGGTATATGACAATTATAGCTATTAATCTTACCATACCTGAAACATTAGTTGAGCAGATACTTCCTAGGGTGAGATATCTGTGAGAACAGAGACCTTACTGACCTATTTACAACCGCATCTCCAGTTCTTGACCTGAAGTGGCTACCTAATAAATATCTCCCAATTATATTAACACAGTGCTTCCAATAATGAAGCCAATCATGGATAAATTGGGGAGAACACTGACAATAAAACGAACAGAAAATCTTAGTCTTTATCGCCTGGAATGTGGTGGATGCTTTCTTTCAATATAACAGAACCAAATACTGTAGTGGGAATATGAATTAATAGTCATTCAAAAATGAATATAATGTCTCATTCTAGATCAAAGCCACACCCTCAATTTAATTCCTGGTTATTGATTTATTTTCAAATAGTTGAGCAGATGCTGGATATATCTATAGAATGAAACTTGCTAAATTTAACTACGTTGTCACTTAACCCTCTGTGTGTGTGCGTTTGTGTGTATAGGAATCTGACTGGTCTTGTATCTGATTCAGAAAAATCTAGTCCTGGCTTTGAGTGAAAATGGAAGGTAGGCAATTGTCTTGGAGGAATGATTTGTGGGAGGCTCCATAAAGCTCCAAGCCCTAAAGCATCTCCCTGACTTGGCTTTAAATGATCCCTGAAACAGGGAGATTTTTATTCCTTTGATTTATTTCATTATCCCCATTAGGTTTACCGGGAGGAATAGTATGTTACATAGGTATGAGTAATTAATGCATTTGTGTGGTGGTTCTCAACCAGGGCCAAGTTTGTATTTTGCAACATCTGTAGATATTTTTGGTTGTCACAACTGGGGCTGAGAGTGGTGGGGTGGTTATGCTACTTGTCTCTAGCGGGTAGAGACCAGGAATACTGCTAAACATCTTGCAATATATGGGACGGCTCCCTCTTTCCCATTAAAAAAATAATTATCTGCCCCAAAATACCAATAGTGCTGAGCTTGAGAAAGCCTGCATTAGGGTGAAGTAACTCGTTGATAGATTCTTTTGAGAAGATAGTTAACACAGTGGAGGTTTTGAGAGAGAGCGTGTGGGGTGGACAGAAAGGCATAAATTTAAAATTGTGGAATGGGAGGATGAATGCTGGGATACCTTTACACCCCAGAGACTCCTGGCTAACATATGTGAATTGAAAGGGAAAAAATTACTCCTTCTTGGGAAATATGCCAACTGTAGAGCTGTTCTTTTAAAATGTCATGGTGCCGTCTTAAGTTAACAAAGGTCAGCAGTCGTGTGGGTAGGGGAAAGGGCAGGGATCTTGAACTGAAGTCCACACTGGCCTCTTTTATATGTCTCACTCTATACTGGAGCATGAGGGACACCTTTAGAAGAGCTTCGTGCCCTACCTGAGTTTTCTGAGGGCACACCTGTCCTCTGAGACTCCTGGGCATGTTTCCAGCAGATGAACATACACTACCACTTTCTCTCTCATTCTTCATCTTCAGAGTCTGCCACACTGTCAAAAATGGAAAGTTGGCTTCTTTTTTTTTAAATTTTATTATTATTATACGTTAAGCATGAAGATCTCCTATTGACTCCAGTTTGACATCACAGAACATCATTAGGTTATGGAACTGGAAGGAGCCTGAAAAATCGTGTCTTCTTATTTTCTTAATTGAAACATGAGGAAAGCAAGTGGGGTCCAGGGAAAGTAAATGGCTTCTCTAAAATCATTATGGAAAAATTAGGATTAGAACTGGATTTACCACCTCCAAGTCTGATGTTTCTCTATTCTCTATCATGTAATTTTTTGTAGAAACACCTGAGTAAGAGAGAAACTCACTAAAATCTTTGAGAGATTTTGCAGTTTAAATGCTTGGTATAGATTTTTTTCTTTTTCACTGTCATGCATTCCAAATTCAGTTTTTAGAAACAAGATTTTCAATGCTTTTTATTGATCTCCTATTGAGATTGGTTTGCATTCTAGTCACTATTGCTGGTAAGAAATTATCCTGATCTCAGTGGCTTGAAACAGCCATTTTATTTTTCTCACATTTTGGTGGTCAGGCATTTGGAAATAAGTCATCAGGGCAGTTCTTTCCTGGTGTCTCTTGTATGGTTGCAGTCAGAAGTTGGCTGGGGTTGCAATTATCTGAAACCTCAATTGGTCTGGACATTTAAGATTGCTCCCTTCCATTATTTGGTTGACATTTAATGCCAATTGATCCCAGTTCAGCTGAGAGCTTAATTGACTGTCTACTGGACCACCATATGGGTCTTTCCGTATGGCAAGACCCATACTGGGCTTTGTTATGGCATGGCTTCCTTATGGTAGTCAGTCCTCTTACATGGAGACTTAGGGCTTCAGATGCAAGTATCCCAGTGACCTGATGCCTATTTCTTAATCATCAAGCTGTACCCCAGGATTGCTTTGCTTTTCATGACCTACTCTTGAAAGGTAAGCAATGTCACTTCCATTGCATTCTATTTGGTAATAAGAGAGTTACTGAAATTGGCTAAGATTCAAGAGTAGTTGACATGGATACCATCTCTTGGTGGTACACATGACAAAGCATTTGTGGACAAGTTTTAAAATCATCACAGTTTGGATTTTACAGTCAAAAAGTTTCCACTAAATAAATACTAATTTGGCTATTTTACAATGTCCTATTTTTTTTAAACTTGCTATATTTCAAAATTCAATTTGTAAAATAGTAAGAAAGTTTATGTTTGCTTTTGAGTAAATTATTCAACTTCTCTTGGCCTCAATTTCCTTATCGTTATGATAAGAATAATGATATCTAAATTTTAGGATGAGAATTTTGTTTTAAGAATTAAGCAGTAAATGGTGTCTGAAACAAGGTAGACACCGAATGGTAATAATCATAATATTGGCCAGGTGCGGTGGCTCACGCCTGTAAATCCCAGCACTTTGGGAGGCTGAGGTGGGTGAATTGCTTGAGCTCAGGAGTTCAAGGCCAGCCTGGGCAACATGGTGGAAATCCTGTCTCTACCAAAAATACAAAAATGAGCAAGGTGTGGTGGTGCACTCCTGTAGTCCCAGCTACTCGGGAGGCTGAGGTAGGAGGATCCTGGGAAGGTGGGCTGCAGTCCAGTTGAGGCTTCGGTGAGTTGTGATCCTGCCAGCCTGGGTGACAGAGCAAGACCATGTCTCGAAAAAAAAAAAAAAAATCATAACGTTGTCTACATGGGATGCCAGTTCATATCCTGATGCCTATTTCTTAACCCTCAAATTGTACAGAACATCTCTGAAAACAGCGCTTCAGATTGGGGTAGGGAAGACCATTACCCACTACTTTAAAGAGTACCCGAGTAGCGGAGTACCCACAAGACAACAGGAGTCCCTGAAACGAGAGGCGCAAAGACAGCAGGGTCGAATCATTCCTGCTTCATAATTCTGCTTTAGACTAGCTTGCTGAGAATGAGCTGGGTAGAGGACAAGGAAAAGGGCATCTCCCCAGTGTTTTTGGAATGAAGGTGACTTGTAGAGGCAGGGAGGAGCCTCCCTGTCCTGAATGCTCTTAATTGTCCATGTATGTTTTGGAGGTGGTGGATTCAGAGGGGATGAAGGTAGCAAGTGGCAGCTGCTGGTTGAAGGAAGAAGGCGGCAACCCATTTCCTTGACGACGGTGTGAGCCTTGGGTGGTAGACACCTGGAAGTGTTATTTACTTGCTATGTTTAGAATCCTTTTAGAAAAGCTGAAAACTGTTTGCCACTTCCTTTCAGAAATCCTTAATTCTAACCTGCAAGTTTTGTGCTATAATTTGTCAACTGTGCTTGGGAAAGACTTCATAGACTTCCTAGAAATAGAGATGGAGCCTGCTTTCCAATCAGCATCATTTAAAAGAAAACAGAGAACCTTTTAGGCATGTGAGGTTGTTGATTGCTAGCATTATTATGATGACCGGAGACTTTGCAATTTATAGAGAGACCACGAACGTGCCGGGCATTGTTGACAAAGCACAGGATTCAAAATTGTTTCTGCCCAGAGCATGCAATCTCACCCTCTTGAGATGTTTTGTTTATTTTTTTTCTCTCTCCTTAAGAGTATTCTGCTAAATTGGGAACATTGTGATCCTGGTGGAAAATTGATCTCATAAGATGTATCTCAAAGGATCTTCAGACCTATTTTTAGATTATTCACCTTTTGTCTGTCATGGCCATCGCCTATTTATTTATCAACATTTTATTGAGCGTTTAGTGTGACCCAGGCAGTAAGCTAAACATTCCTACATTTATTATGGTATTTCTAACCCAACTGTCCATGAGTTAGGTACAAGTATTAGTCCAATAATGTGGGTGAGGAAATTGGGTGTTACAGAGGTTATGGAAATTAGCCTAAAGTTGATCTGAATTAAACTTACATTTTTAACCCCTTCTCTTCTGTCTTTCTCTCCCTGTCTCCCTCTACCTCTCTCTTTCTGTGCCTCAGCCTCACTAGCCTTCTGAATGTCCCTCAACTTTGCCATAGGACTTTGCATACTAGCCTCTTTTGCCCTGAGCATTTTTCTTTTCCATTTTCTGCTAGTTCACTTTTGTTTATCTTTCAGCTCTCAGCTTAAGTGTTACTTCTTAAGGGATCCTTTTCTGATTCACATCAAATAACTCTATTTTATGCTCACATGTCACAATAAACCCGGCACCTATTCCTGGTTGCACTTTTATATCTGGGTGACTCTGCACAATACATCCCTCCCCAACTAACTTCGAAGCTTTGTAAGAACAAGGACTGTCTGTATACATGCTGTCTATGTATTCGTAGCACCTAGCGCAGTTCCTGGTACATAGCAAATGCTCAACAAACATCTACCAAATAAATGAAAAACAGACTACATTCTATCTTTACCTTGTTCTAGACCGTGAATACCCTTTTTACCGAGGAGGATCATTGATATCCTTGACAATTCATTATATAAGACTCAATGTGTGGTTGGGACATTTGTCAAATTCTGGGGCTGGAGAACTCTCAGCAAAGATCTTGTTGAGGTTGTTTTCAAGGTTCCATCTAAGATACTCCAGTCAGAAAATAGTATATGCCATTTATTTTTTTATTTTGTTTTATTTTATATCTTAACATTTTGTTACAAAACCACATTACCTACCACCCAGCTTCTGTAGTGATAGCAGACGTCTTTCTTATATGTCTTCAGTATTTCCATGCCAACCCCCACCATTATTGAAACAAATATCATAGTTATTCAGCCCATAGTCTTCTAAAACACTTCTTTCTTATGAACTCATTTCAACCTCTCCAGGAAATGTTTTCCTTCAACTTATACTAAATTTCTAATCATGCAGTTTCTGCCTGTTTCCTCTTGTGTGAAGACAGAGAGCGGCTGGTCACTATTTTTGGTGTTATATAACCATTTTTAGTAATTGAAGTTTGTGATTAGTGCTCCCTTCAGTCATTCATTAACAACTTCAAATTTAATAATGTCTTTTATTTAACCAGTGGACCATCTCTAGTGAGTGTTCAAACTGCATGACTGGAAGAACAAATTTATTTTTGGCAATATGGTTTCCTTGGGCTATGAGCTGTGTCCTGAGCTCTTGGCTCATGAGTTTGGAAAGGTTCTGTCTTATTCTTTAGAGGCTAAGAAATAGAATGTTATGGGCTTGTTCTTTCAGTCTGGCAGGGCATAAGCACTCTATTTCTGTGAGATCAGGGGCACTACTCAAAGTGCGAGGGGATGGACTGTTTTTTTCCCAGTCTAGTAAAATTGGATCTAGACTTGTGGAGAAAATTGAGAGGGGGACTACAGGATCCTTTTTTCCCCTCCACTTTAAGACTGTGATGGATCAATGGTGCCTTTTTTTTTTTTTTTTTTTTTTTTTTTGAGATGGCATCTCACTCTGTCGCCCAGGCTGGAGTGCAGTGGCATGATCTCGGCTCACTGTAACGTCTGCCACCCAGGTTCAAACGACTCTTCTGCCTCAGCCTCCCGAGTAGCTAGGATTACAGGCACGTGCCACTACGCCCAGTTAATTTTTTTAATTTTTAGGAGAGATGGGGTTTCACCATGTTGGCCAGGATGGTCTCGATCTCCTGACCTCATGATCTGCCTGCCTCAGCCTCCCAAAGTGCTGGGATTACAGGTGTAAGCCACTGTGCCAGCCAATGGTGCCTATTTTTTTTTTTAACAGTGTTTGACTGCTATGTTTTGAATATGATTTGTTTGCCCCTACCAAGTCACATGTTGAGATCTGAACCCCAATGTTGGAGTTGGGGCCTAATGGGGCGCTGGGGCCTTGCACAGAGTAGGCATTCAGGAAACTATGGAATGAGAGGTGTTTGGATCGTAGGGGCAGATCCCCCATGAATGGCTGAGTGCCACTGTCACAGGAGCGGGTGAGTTCTCACTCCTGTTTCCCACGTGAGCTTGTTGTTGAAAAGGCCTGGCACTTCCCTTCCTTCTCTCACTTCCTCGCTTACCCTGTGATCTGCACATGCAGGCTCCTCTTGCCTCATACCATGAGCAGAAATAGCCTGACACTTTCACGAAAAGCAGATGCTGGGTCCATGCTTCTTGTACAGCCTGCAGAACGTGAGCCAAACAAACTTCTTTTCTTTATAAATTACCCAATCTCAAGCTTTAAAAAATAACAACACAAAAGACAGACTAAAACACTGACACATAGTTGGCACTCTGTATTTGCTTGCTCAGTTGCTAGATTGACAGAAAAATTGAGCTGTGCACCTTGTAAACTTCTGTAACAATGTTCTCACTGAGATGGACTTTACATCCTGGCATCGAGAACAGAATGACAAGGCTCTGTCAGATTGCATATTCAGTCTGAATCCCACTTCATATCATTCCATAGTTCCCTGAATGCCTACTGTGTGAAAGACCCCATGCTAGGATCAGGGGAGGGCAAGAGGAATGAGTCAAAAATCTTGCTCTAGAGGAGCTCACAGTCTAAAGTGAGTGTGGGAGATTAAAAGTGGCTGAAAATTCTTTTCTACTCCTCCAGTTGAGGGGTAGAGTCTAACTCCCCTCCCCTTAAATTTGGACTAGCGTCCAGATTGATTTGATTAATCAATAGAATGTGGCAGAAGTGATGTTTGGCCTTCTGAGGCTAAGACAAAAGAAGCCTTGCAACTTTCACCCGGTTCATGTGGAATACTTGATCTGGGGGAAGCCAGCTGCCATGGAAGAGGTCCAGGTACCTTAAGACTATTATGCTGAAAAAGACATATGTGGGCATTCTGGTCACTAGTCCAGGTGTGCCCAGTCTTCTAGCTATACCTGTCAAGGTGCCAGATGTGATTGAAATCAACATAGACCCTCCAGTCTAGTGCATCTGCCAGTTGAGTGGCACTCAGTGACCTCAGTTAATACCATGGGAAGCAGTAGAATCTCCCAGCCAAGTTCTGGCCAAATTTACCTACCCACAAAATCCATAGCTAGAATTAAAAGGCCATTGTTCTAAGGCATTAAGTTTTGGGATAGTTTGTTACCCCCACAATAGACAGTGAGAACAGAGATATAAGAAAATAACCAGCATCAAGTAAGAACTTTAATAAAAGGTATGTACAAAGTGTTGTTGGACAACGAATTAGAACAAATAATTCTGTTCTTGGAGAGGCCAGGCCACCACAGTGCCTCACTTGGTGGGGCACCAATCATGTTGTAGTCTTTGTGAACAGCAGCCCTGGAGTTGTGCAGAGCCCAATAGGAGCAGACATATGTGGCAATTGTGGGTAATGGGGGCTGGGAAGGCAGGTTAGCTGGGAAAACCATAAAGAAAAGGAACTGGAGCTGAGAATTAACATATGCTACAAAGAGTGGGGAGAAATGATGCTTAAGCCTGCATCAGCATGAGCCCAGACTTGAGAGCAGAGGTACCCATGATACTCTTGGTACATAATAACTGGTTCTGTATCATTGGCATGGAGTGTTGGGGTAGGAGGAGTGGCTGCAGCTGAGCCTCCAAAGGCAGAGTGACGTAAAGGGCGTCACTTTCATACTGTGGTGAGGAGCTGGGAGGAGGAAGGCAACAGGGACACATAGAAGATTTTAAAGCAGGGAGTGACACATTCAAAACAGTATTTGAGAAAATTGCAGTTCAAAACCCCACAGACTATGAAAGACACTGTTCTTCCAACTCCAACTCCCTGAGTCTCCCTGAAAGCTTGGTAGATACATTTTTTTATAGGATTTTTTTCAACAACAGGGGATTACTCAATGTTTCATTTCAAAGGATCATTAAAGGAAAATCAAGGCACATCACATCCTGCCTTCTTTAACTGCTCATTTATTATTACTGTGGGTGAGATAACAGCTTTGTGTTATTCTTCTAAATAGTGTAAAATATTTATTGGTAAATGTAGCAGTACATAAATTAATGCCAGTTGAGATTATTTTTCTCCACTGATCACCATAATGTTTACTTAAAGTAAAACCATTTGTGCTGCTCCATTCTGGCTCAGCGCTAAGTGAGGGCATTATGAACTGAACGTCTTTAGGACAACACTGTCTCTTAGTTTCCATGGGGTGGCAGGACCCTGTGGGTGAGCTGGCTCTCTGGTTTGTTTGTGAAACCAACTTCTTTCCTATTTTTCAAGACCACAGTACTTGGGAAGAGAGCACGTGGAGGTGTAAAATTTTCTTTTCTCTGTCACATCTGAATTTACTAAAAGTGGCTTTTTTAAGTAAGATATTCATTATTTCTCTTATCTGAAAGCCCACATGTGGGGGGCTCCTTAGAGTTGATCTGGTGGCTTACCAGTCACCGAGGACCCAAAATTGTGTCTTCATACGGCAATGTCCAAACACAGGAAATATTTTTTGTGTTTTGTTTTAAATTTTTTTTTTAACTTCTGGAGAAAAATTTTTTCCAAAATCTTGCAGGTATCCTCTCAGGTTTTCTATTTCTGATCTGGGTTCATATCCTCCTCTAAACCAACCACAGGAAAGAGAAAAAGCTTAGAGGAGATGAACCATGGCCCATTCCCTGGGCAGGGGAGAGAGACCCACATCCTCCATCAACACTCAACCATCCTGTATTTGAAGCAAATGGGGTTTTCTCAGAGGCAGCTCCGGAGGAATGACTGAAGTGTGTGCAGCATATGATGTTGGCCACAGGTCAAACCAATTTAATTGATTTGTATATTAAATGTTGATTTAATATATACCATATGCCCAGTTCTATATCCCTGTTGGCAGATAAAACAGAAGTATAGAAGACAATGCTTGTTCTCAGGGAGTATCAGTGGGCATTATAATAAAGCAGGCCATTCCTTAGCTTGAGAAATTAATAAAATATATGGATTATCTATTACAGCTCGTGAGGTGGGAATAGAGATATGAATAAGACCTAGTTCTTGCCCACAAATAATGTGCAATTCCCTTCACCATCTGCTTTATTCAATCTGGTCATACTGCAGACAGATTCATCCCCCAGCCTCCCCATGCTCTGCCATGTTGCCCTCGGAACACACAGGGCTACATC